>NC_000007.14:86143142-86446172 GCF_000001405.40 Homo sapiens | reverse complement strand
CTTGATGACAAATTAGATATGGAGTGGAGCTGAGAGGGAGAAAACAGGTGAGGAAGACTCTGACAGATGAGTAATATAGAAGTAAAATAACATGTATAACATTTTTTTAAAAAAAAAAGGTCATTATAAACTGCCTGAATGGTACCCAGATGAAATTGTTCACGAGGGATGTGGAAAATACATATCGGGTTTAGATGGTCATTCCTGGTGATGAAGACTTTTAGGAGGACATAATCAGCATATAGGTGGCAGCTACAGTCAAGATTATAAAGCCAGGAACAGACAGAGATACAATAAGTTAGCTCTATCAGTAAGAGTAGATGTGGTTATGCTACAGTAGCAAACCTTCAAATCTCAGTGATTTACAGTAATGGAGATTTACTTCTTACTTTCACTACATATTTATTGGGTGGGTTTAGACTCTGCTCTTATCTCTTGGGTGCAGCCTTCCAGAACAACTTTTATATGAAACATTGTTTATCATTATACAAGGGGAAAAAGAATGTGATGAAGCATGAATTAACCCTTACAGCTTTTGCCTGGAAGTGACACATAAAACTTCTGCTAACATTTCCATTGTCAAAGCAAGATACAAGGCCAAAACTGACTTATGAGGGGTGGGGGAGTATACTTTTTTTCCCAGGGAGGAAAAGCAGATCTTTGGTAAACCATAGTAACAGGATTGCCAACTCAGCATTCTGAAGAATAGAGACATTTAAACTGGTCTTTGAAAAAGGAGCATCTCTCAAAAAGGGTGAAAAGAAGATGCCAAAAATATAAGTCAAAGACTCAGAAGTATTTTTTCTTAAATGAAGAAAGGAAAGGACAATTTTTGTGTAATTCATTAATGATTTTTGTATGTAATGTGTTTTTGTTGTAATGAAATTTATATATCAGTCATATGTTTGCTTTTAATAATCATTTATAATTGAAATATGGGCTAAAATTTATCATCTTAATGATTTCTTGCAGGAGATTTATCCTGAAATATGCATTGCTACAGGCAAATATAAAGCAAAGTGTGATTAATTAGAATTCATTAATACAGGGTTTGGATACACCCTCATATAAAGTTAGAAATATTTCCACATTTCCATTCAGTTCTAGTTAAAAGATATATTTTCCTAAAAAAAATTCAGATTAGTTTTAGATTTTTCATACTCTATGCTTGTTGAACTTGGAACTAGGTGTTGTTATCACTTCTATTTCAGGCAAAATCATCGAGCTACTCCCACGGATGGAAGTAACTTTTTATTTCTTTTTTTTTTGCACAAAATATGATGTTAATTTTTGTAGCAGGTGAATAAAGTACTAATTGTTTTTCTATTGTGAAGGGCTGGGAAAACTTCCAGGACTGAGACCTGAATTCCAGAATTTTCTGTTAATAAAAGAACAGTGAAACAGTTAAGAGGTGGGGGTGGTTCTGTCTTATTCTGAAATAACATGGGGAATCAAGAATAAAGATTTTAGATTTTCAAAAAATCTAAGTTCTGTAAGCCAGTAATTGGCCAATGGTGACCCTGCTGAATCTTTTTTTTCCTTTTAATTTATTTTTCCTTGTTTATACTTAAGGTATACCTCATGATTATTTTGATACATTTTTTGATACATATACATAGTGAAATTACTACAGGTAAGCAAAAAACATTATCTCACATAATTATCTTTATGTGAGATCTCTTTTCTTTTTTTTTTTTTGGGGGGGTGGTAAGAGTAACTAAAATTTGCTCTTTCAGCAAATTTCCAGTATACAAAACAGTAGTATTAACTATACTAACCATAGTCATTCTGTTGTAAATTAGATCCCTAGACTTGTTCATCGATGTGTATTAGTCCATTTTCATGCTGCTAATAAAGACATATCAGAGACTGGGTAATTTATACAGAAAAAAGGTTTAATGGACTCACAGTTCCACATGGCCGGGGAGGCCTCACAATCATGGTGGAGGCAAGGAGGAGCAAGTCACGTCTCACATGGATGGCAACAGGCAAAGAGAAGTGAACTTGTGCAGGGAAATTCCCCATTATAAAACCATCAGATCTCACGAGACTCACTCACTATCACGAGAATAGCATGGGAAAGACCCACCCGCATGATTCAATTACCTCCCACCGGGTCCTTCCCACAACACATAGGAACTGTGGGAGTTACAATTCAAGATGAGATTTGAGTGAGGACACAGCCAAACCATATCACTATGTAGTGGCATGTTTGTACCCTTTGATGTACCTCTCCCCATTTCCTCCCCTTCCATACCCCTGGTAAACACTGTTCTGCACACTTTCTCTGTAGCCAGTGTTTTTTTAGATTCCACATATAAGTGAGGTCATGCCTTACCTTTCTTTCCATGTCTGGCTTATTTTATTTACCATAATACTGAGTCTCAATATTAAATTAACTCATGTAATAATTTTGTGCATCAAAAAAATAAAGTTCTATGGGAATCAGCTATGAATAAAAGATACAAAGCCCCTCCCCTTGTGGAACTTAAGTTATAATTGTGGAAACATATACTAAACAATGAATTATACAATTCATAATTGAATTATATTAGTGATAAGTGTCAGAAAAGAGAAGTATAGTTTGTAAAAGAACTTTGACTTTGGGAGGCAGAGGCAGGCAGATTACTTGAGGTCAGGAGTTCGAGACAAGCCTGGCCAACATGGTGAAACCCCATCTGTACTAAAAATACAAATAATAGCCAGGTGTAGTGGTGTGTACCTATAATCCCAGCTATTTGGGAGGCTGAGGCAGGAGAATCACTTGAACCCTGAAGGCAGAGGTTGCAGTGAATAGAGATCCTGCCACTGCACTCCAGCCTGGGTGACAGAGTGAGACTCTGTTCCAAAAGGAAACAAACAAAAAAGAATTTAGTCTGTTTTTTTTGAGAAATTGATCTAGAGTGGATAGATGAATGAATAAGCATTAGCATGGCAAAAAGATGGGGGGAAGGTGTGATTATGGAGCTTCCCAGGCTGAAGAAACAGCAATTATGGAAGTAAAGGTGGCACTGTTGCCTGGAGTATTTGAGAAAAGGCCCGTTTGTGAGAGAAATGTGAGAAAGAAAATCAGTAGCCTGAGTTAAATCCAATCTGGCAGTGCCAAATTCCAAAGGACTTTGTAGTTCATGCTAATGATTTTGGATTTTGCTTCAAGGGCCATGAAAATCTTTTTCATTAGAGGGGAGAAACATATTCACTTTTATATTTTTAATAGGTTATTCTGTTGGCTGTGGAGAGAATGGAGGAGTAGAAATGGCCATGACAGCTGAACTTATTGCAATTTAAGGGGTCAGGTTCAATGGGAATAAAAATGGAAAGATAGAGATGGAATCCAGAGATACCTCAAAAATAGAGTCCAATGCACTCCATGATTGATTTGATAGATGTGGAAAGTGAAGTTCCAAGAGGGATGACTGCAAGGTTTCTGGCTTATGTAACTTTTTGGTTTAAAGTGATCATTTACTGAGATGAAATGCTGGAGGTGGACCAGGTTTCTGAGAGAAGGTTTTAACTGCGTAGTTTATATGCAAAGGCATTGTTGCTGTAGGTTCTGGCATTTAGGTGAGTACAAGGCAGATCACAAGAGAGATCTGAAGATGGCTTTTCTCTTTTCTCCAAGACCAAGATTTGTAAGTCCTAGGAAAGATTGATTTCAGTATTAAGCAGTTTGTTACCAATTACCTCTAAACGTATCTGTGGCATACAGTGATGATGATTGTAGTTAATACTTGTTAGTCCTTACTATGAAACAAGTATCATTCTACCATTCTATGTGCTTTATGAATATAATTCATTTAAGTCTCTTCAAAATCTTAGGTACTATTAATATCTCTACTTTTCAGATGAAGATTTGAATACAGATAGTATAGCTGCATTCTTAAATACTTAAACTCTTAAATACTTCACTATGGAACTAGACTGTAGTGTATTCTAGTGTGCAGAGACCAAAGGAATTTAACTGGAAAGAGGCAGAGTTTAAGAAATGGGCTCATGATTTTGGGACATACCACTTTAATAAAAAGCTAGTAGCTGCCTCCTTATGTACAGTCCTAGGTCTGTCATTATTATTAAGGCTGATGCTACCTAGAGCGAGTGGCTCTGAGTGAGAGGTTGGTGATAATTATTCCCCAGGAGTCCTACAGAGTCAAATTCCTTAGGAATTTCCAGGCTAGGGGTTATGAGATCTTAGCATGTGAAAACTATGTTACAGTAACATCCATCTTTGTATTTCCAATGTCTGCAAGGGGGCTTGATGCATGACAGATATTAAGGAAGTGTTAGTGGATAAATAAATGAAACAATGATTGTTCTTGTAGTTACAAGTACTTCCTAGGTGTCTGTCTTCCTGGTATGGTATTCTGTCTGGAATTGGTGGGTTCTTGGTCTCACTGACTTCAAGAATGAAGCCGCGGACCCTCGCGGTGAGTGTTACAGCTCTTAAGGTGGCGCGTCTGGAGTTTGTTCCTTCTGATGTTCGGATGTGTTCAGAGTTTCTTCCTTCTGGTGGGTTCGTGGTCTTGCTGGCTCAGGAGTGAAGCTGCAGACCTCTGCGGTGAGTGTTACAGCTCTTAAGGCAGCGCGTCTGGAGTTGTTCATTCCTCCAGGTGGGCTCGTGGTCTCGCTGGCTTCAGGAGTGAAGCTGCAGACCTTCGCGGTGAGTGTTACAGCTCGTAACAGTGTGGACCCAAAGAGTGAGCAGTAGCAAGATTTATCGCAAAGAGTGAAAGAACAAAGCTTCCACAGTGTGGAAGGGGACCCCAGTGGGTTGCCACTGCTGGCTCGGGCAGCCTGCTTTTATTCTCTTATCTGGCCCACCCACGTCCTGCTGATTGGTAGAGCTGAGTGGTCTGTTTTGACAGGGCGCTGATTGGTGTGTTTACAATCCCTGAGCTAGACACCAAGGTTCTCCACATCCCCACCAGATTAGCTAGATACACAGTGTGGACACGAAGGTTCTCCAAGGCCCCACCAGAGTACCTAGATACAGAGTGTCAATAGGTGCATTCACAAACCCTGAGCTAGACACAGGGTGCTGATTGGTGTGTTTACAAATCTTGAGCTAGATACAGAGTGCCAATTGGTGCATTTACAATCCCTGAGCTAGACATAAAGGTTCTCCACGTCCCTACCAGACTCAGGAGCCCAGCTGGCTTCACCCAGTGGATCCAGCACCAGGGCTGCAAGTGGAGCTGCCTGCCAGTCCCGGTGCCGTGTGCCCGCACTCCTCAGCCCTTGGGTGGTCGATGGGACTGGGCGCCGTGGAGCAGGGGGTGGCGCTCGTCGGGGAGGCTCGGGCCGCACAGGAGCCCATGGAGGGGGTGGGAGGCTCAGGCATGGCGGGCTGCAGGTCCGGAACCCTGCCCTGCGGGAAGGCAGCTAAGGCCCGGTGAGAAATCAAGCGCAGCGCCAGTGGGCTGGCACTGCTGGGGGACCCAGTACACCCTGCGCAGCCACTGTCCCCGGAGCTAAGCCCCTCATTGCCCGGGGCCGGCAGGGCCGGCCGGCTGCTCCGGGGGCGGGGCCCGCCAAGCCCACGCCCACCCGGAACTCCAGCTGGCCCACAAGCGCCCCGCGCGGCCCTGGTTCCCGCTCGCGCCTCTCCCTCCATACCTCCCTGCAAGCTGAGGGAGTGGGCTCCGGCCTTGGCCAGCTCAGAAAGGGGCTCCCACAGTGCAGCGGCGGGCTGAAGGGCTCCTCAAGTGCCGCCAAAGTGGGAGCCCAGGCAGAGGAGGCGCAGAGAGCTAGCGAGGGCTGTGAGGACTGCCAGCACGCTGTCACCTCTCAGTGTCCAGGAAGGAAATAATCTGTAAGTCTGAGGACTAATTCTTTGGTCAGAATCCTCTCAATTTTTATTCAGAATTCTCATGTATAAAGGAAGAAACAGGCAGGACAAAAACCCAACAACAATAACAAAACCTCAAGTTACTTGACAAGCTTGTGGTAGATTCAAAACAACTACATACATTCTTAGTGGTATATAAAAATCAAATTAACTTAAGGAGAATGACACTATTTTGTAATTATTTACAGATATTTTCCCCCTAAATTCGCCATTTAACCCTCATGTCATCTGTTGATTTTCACAAGGAAGATAAGGTTATCACCAATTTATAAGGACGTAACAAGAGCAAGCAGAGAAGTAATTTGCTCACTTAGTGAATGAAATAATGTACAGTTTTATTCCTTAATCTCATAAAACCATACCAGATCTTTAAATTCCTTTCTAGTCAACCATACTGATTCTTGAGTAAAAGACACTTTCCACTGTCATGCACTATAAGAAAGCTATTACAGTGCTCAGTTTGGTGTAACTCCTGGCTTTCACTTTTAAATGCTTTGGGCCAGTTCATTTATTGCTTTACTAGCTCTACTGAATCTGCCTTAGATTCCAGGGACTATGGGCAAGGGTTCCTGAACAGATATTCTGAATTTTATAAGTTGGCCAGTTTTAATGTCAAAAACTATATATTTTGAATTACATATCCCTTCTAGCATTTGAATTTTTAGAAAAATATGAGCAACCTATATTATTTATCTCATGTGAATGTGATTATTTGGTTTGAACTTGTGAAAGTATACAATTTTACTTCAAACTTACCTTGTTGAAGACTAGTTTCTAACTAGCTCCTATAGTTCCCAAATAATTCTACTAGTTATAAATAAATTTTTACATATTATTTAGCGAGCCTCTTAAATGCTTTCATTTTCAATGCAGTCACTTAATGCAGTAGATGTACTTATTTGAACTTGTTGGGGAAATAGATTTGGCTTTCTGCTGATAGAGATTTATTGCAGTAACTTATTGTAAATTCAATCAATAATTGATTTCCTTTTTGAGAAATCAATAAAAGATTTCTACAACAATTGTGCAGTGCTGTATGCTTGGGGTACTAAGAGAAATATAGCACCTATAGGAAGAAAGAAAGAAAGGAAGAGCAGAGAGACTAACAGGCAAACAGGTAATATACACTTTCCTAAACTTAATTTCCTTACATACACATTAAATGGTACATTTAATTGAATGGCATGAATTGCAAATTATGATTTTTTCTCCATGTTTAATGAATATTCAGTCGTGCATGTTTCCGATGTTAATTTTACCTTAAGGTTGATTGAAATATATATCTACTATACAGTAAAATTATTTTCATGTCTTTTTTAAAATGACATGGCAATTACGCCTATGGTGAGACTAATATCTAGAGTACTGGAGGAAAAATGGAAGATGAATACTATAATTTATCACACTTCAGTAGTTGCTGATTATTAGAGTTGAGAGACTTTAAGGATAAGTGGAAGAAAGGTGAGTTACGGGAATAGAGATTGATTTAATATATTGATATTGTGATGCACCATTTACAGTGAAATTGATACTTTGCTACTAAATCTTGCTCTTACGTTACATATTGATGTGTCAAGAAAAACCTTGGATTACTTGACTATAGTATCTTATCCATAAACTTCAATAGATACAGAGACAAATTTATCTTGTTAGCCATTTCATGTTTTCCAAATTACTTTAAAACACACTGTTTAGGAATCAACCAGAACATTGCTTCTTTACTCTGGAAGCAAAGCTTTTGAAAACAGGGGAAAAAGAGAAGAAAAAATCTAAACTACCACCTGAGATCTGTGGATTTTCATGTTGCTAGACAACTCGAAGAAAAAAAAGTAGGAGGTCTGAGAAATGAAGGCCAATTTAACAAGAAAAATTTTATCTGGCAGTACTGTTTATCTCACCTTATAAAGGCCTACTTAAAAGTTTTATTTTAACACCCTATTTATTTTAGCAGTGCTTATATACTGAATGCATTTGAAAAGTGAGTAGATTTTTCAGAACGTTCTAAAAGTACATAAAGATTTAATGATGTGTTGGACACCTAGATGTCTCAGTAATAAAAAGCCAAATAGTCTTTATAATCTACAAAAGCCCCTTTCACAATTGGTGAGGAAAGATGCCTTCACCACCTATTCATTTGTTAAAATTATAAGAATTCCTGTACATTAGTCTTTGAAGCAATTTTAAAAGAAAAAGAAAACTGCTATTTATAGTGATGCCATTAGAGATAAGAGATGACAGTGGGACTTGGCTAAAAGGTGCATGGTTTTGTTTTAAATTGAACAGGAGTTTTATGGTTGTTTCGCTCCTAAAGCCTTGTGTTTTGTAATACTCATATCTACAGAGAAGTCAGGCTGTGTTCTATCTATGGTGAGGTGGCAGGGGAATGAGGTAATTTAATTCAGAGCTGGATATTTGCTCCTGATAAAATGGTGGTTTTTAGCACATATAAATATACTATGAAAATTGAATGCCAGATTGCATGAAGACTGCTTCCGGCATTAAAAAAATGTAAGAGCAAGTAAGGATGAGAAAAATAAAACTTTAGAGCTTTGGTATGAAGCAGACAGAAATAGAGGTTAGAGAATTTGTTACAAATTTCTGAAGATGAGATTGAAGTGGTATCTATCACAGTTTGGGTTTCCCTGGAAGCAGATGCTAAAATGGACATTCTCAAACAAGTGGTTTGATAAGAAGTGCTCTTGGGACCAGTGTCTGTGAGAAAAGCACGTTTGGGTGGGAGGAAACTGAACTGGAATACAATTGGAGGAGAGGCCTCATTTGACATAAATGAAACTCTGAATCTGAGATGGCCCTTCAAAGGTGTCCCAAATTGAGATATGCTTATCAGGACAGTTCATGCAGGCTGCCCCTGGGAAGAGGGTAAGGCAACGACCTTATTCAAAGGGGAATTTGTTTATGAGCTCTCAGTAGGCAGTAATCCTTACAGCTGGGGCATGAGAACTTGCAATTCGATGAGGCTCTTGCTGAGTACCCTATGTAGAAGTATTTATTTTATATGAAAATAAGACATCTAGAGCTGTCGAACCTAGAATTTTAGGAACTAGAACCACTAATTTCCCAAACAGCAAACCAGAACTCATTGAAAGCAAGATCTCTCTTACATCTACAGTTTTGGTTCCATGTATTCAACCTATTAAGGATACATAACTGCCATTGATTTGACATATTCTAAGTATTGGATGATGATGCCTTATACTGTCAAGATGATTATTTCCAAGCAGCTAGCTGCAACTTCAAAAGGCTATTCAGTTGTTCGATCTGGCCAACATCTTTGCTGTAGTACAATGTGTGGTAGAACCACTATATCTCATGGTTATATTCCCACAGCTATATTACCTTTGCTGGGAAAAAGTTCTCTTCATCCAATGTGATGTTATACAGAATCACACACCAGAGAACCATTCTGTTAATCCTTAGATAGTAGCACTCACTGAAGCCCTTTAAGTTGGAGAAGCATAATTTCTGGAATATATATTGATTCCATTCAAGAGGATTCACTGTCCTTTCCATGATGGTAAAAGGTATAATGTAATCAACTTGCCATCAAGTTCCTAGGTTGATTTCCTGAAGGGATGGTGTCATATAGTTAGTGGTATGCTAAAGCTGTCTTGATTTTTTTTCTTACGATCTAAATTTGCATTTCTTCACAGTTTTACATTCAGTGATGTCAAGTTAGGGACTTGAAATTTATCATGCTTGGTGTGTTAATGCCACAGAAATCAGGGCTCTTTTCCCTGGATAGCCAGTTGTTAAACATTTACTATCACTTCACTGATTTTTGGCTTAGTATTCTGTTGCAGAAAATTTGGACATTCATTACCGTTAGTAGCTAAATCAGCCTTAGTGAGTGCATACCCATGCTATTTGCTCCATATATTCCTTCCCATCTACTCTCTTCTTGAGCCCAGAGCACCGAAATGGCCAATGATAGAGACTGGCTGATGTCAAATGGCAGAGTTGTTCTGATTTCTATGTTATCAGTGCCACTTCTATGGTGGATGTTCCTGCATGAGTGTCAACATACAATACAAAGATCTACAAAAATTCTCTTAGACCTATCTACATTCCTTTTTTTACCAGACCTCCAAGTTTTCCAATTTTTCTCTTTTCATGTCTATGGCCCAATAGTCAAATCATTCACCACTGCCTTGAGACTATATTTTCCCCCAGGCAATATGGATGGCCTACTATACAAATTTCTGACCAGTACAAGGAGTTTCCCCTATGGCTGACTTTCATGTCCACTCCAGGGTGAAGACCTATAGTAGCAGTTAATTTTTATCTTCATCTTACATACTGAGCCGATGGATCTATAATCCAAGTGATTCTCCCCCAACAGACAACCATAATAGTGAGCCAAGAGAGAGGCACTCATATCTGTTCCACCTGTTTGTGAACAGAATCTTGGGTTCTTTTCACTTGATCATATCCACATATTCCATTTTCATCTTACAAGAGATTGTTGTTAGGTCCAGTCCACTCTATATTGGGACACAACACAACTAACGCATGATGGAGCATGCTGGCTGCATGGACGTTTGATGTATCAGGTATTCTGTCTCTACCAAGGCCCAGAAGGACAATATAGACTACTTTTCAAATAATATTTCTCTGCTGCAGATGGCATAGCCTTGATCAAGAACCCCATAAATCTATGTTGTGATTTTCCTGCTATAGAATTATTCTCATTGCATCTTTTTTCTGCCTCATTTACCTCTAAGATCATAGAGTCTATTGGGTTACATGGCCTAAGAGACAGGGATACTTGCACTGAAACCTGGACCTGATGTCAAGCTGTATTCTTCTCTGGGTCCATTCAAAACTCGTAGCCTTTTGTGAAACCCAGTAAATGCATTGGAGCATTATTTCCATGTCTCAATTACACTGCCTGTATATCCTGAAGAGGATGGAGACATTCATACTTTAAAGTCATCTCAGACACAGTGTTCAAGAGTCATAAAATATCTGCTTGTTTTCTTTCCCTCAACATAAACTTTCTTGAGTAAGTGGCTATACAGCACTTTGGGAAAATGCCAGAGGAAGTTTTACTATATACCCTATTGCAATAAGGCAGGATCTTCCCCTCTGTGGACCTAGCCTGTCTTCAAAGGGTTCCACATCTGAAACTGGCTGCTGTCTGGACACTCTGCAAGGAATCGAGAGTTTTACTGGGGCAGCTTCACTCAACCTCCTGATCAACCAACCTTGATTTCTTTGTATTTGGTTGAACAATACCCTATCCTGTCCTTGGAAATGCTGTGTTACTTTCACAATTTCCAAGGCTCTCTATGAGTAAGGCCACCCTTATTGCTAGTCTAACCTTGTTCTCATTGGGATAATTGGTTCAACTTTATCTTTGATGGTTAAATAACACCATATGACCTCGATTATTTCGGGATTATATCATTCCCATTGCCATTAGGGAAACCACTTCTGTAACAGCAGCTCCTATTATGCCTGCTCTACAGAAGACAGCCACCACTGAGCTTTTAAAATAATATTATATCAAACAAGTTTCTTACCTCTTTAGTAAACAAGATCCCCAAGGCCCACTCTGTGAAGCACAGTAATTGGTGAATTTTCTGACTTTATGTAGTATATCTACTCTCTTATATAGCATATTCACTTCTCTGAGCCACTCAAACTCTTCTTCCAACATCTTTTATGGCCTTTTTTGTCATTTTTACTTCACTTAGTGTGGGCTATTGCTTTCTCCATCCTTCTAAGAGTTATTCTGATAGAATGTTACCACCTATCTCCACCATTTGTTCTACATGCTTCTAAGAGTAATTCTCATAGAATGTTACCACCTGTCTCCTAGAGTCCTTGCTAGGATTTTAAATTATTGAATCATGGAGTTTGCTCCCACACCTATAAATTCTAACTGTATGTTCAAGCAAGTAGAAAGACACTAGCTATTAACAAAGAGCAGTGAAACACTTTTGCAGGGCCAGAGGGTTCTGGAACATCTGGGAATTTTAGTTTGCAGACACAGATTTTCCAATCTTAATCTTCAGTTCTCACTCATTCCCGGTCATGGATGTGACCATGGTAGAGGAGACTTGCTAACATCGAGAATTCAATCTTCCTGGAAGCTTTTCTATCTTTTTAAGTCCTGGATCTGGTCCTCAGAATTTACTACCTCAAGGATAAAAGACAAAAGATTCTCTTTCTATTTTACCAGAAAGATGTTCTAGATTTCATACTTTGTCTTCAATTAGTAACTAATCACCCTCCATCTTTCTATTGGTATTTTTTCTTTAATGTATCAATAGCACCTACCAAGAGCCATTTGATTTTATTGTCATCATAATTGCTACTTCCATGAAGTTGCCAAGCAGCTGGTCTATTACACCCACAAGAGCATTCCCTTCCACTAATATCTTCTCCCAGTTCACTCCCCGGGAAAGCCACATGCCATGGTCTATCATTGCTTCATCTAACACCAGTAATTGGGTAGTAGCCTTACAGTGAGTGATATGGCTCCAAAATCTCATTTTAGTGCCTGTTTCCTATTATCACTCTAACACTAATTTTCATAGGTTATTTTCCCAAGGCAATAGACCCTGAGATAGAATTTACATGCCATTGGTACATTGGAGAATGCTCTCGGGAACAATACCTGTAAGAGAGTGAGCAAAGCAAGAGTAAGCAGAGGGAGAATTTGAAATTGATACAGTTTCAGCAGAGGACTCAACTGTCTCCGTTGGAGCTCTGAAGCACAAATGGTCCAAAAGTATTCAAAATTGTGGCAAAGAGGTTGGATCTTTCTCCCCACATCAACAATATTGGATGTTGGCTGTCCCTGTGGGGAAAGCAATCAATCTTGAATGTTCCATCTCCCCTTTGCAGAGAGCTATTCCTAAATAACTCATCTGTGGCTAACAGAAGGCAGAAGCCCTTTCTCTATGGGATGAATGCTTCAGCCCTAAAGGGTAGATCTGGGTGGCATAACATAGTAGCTCCTCCAGTGTCAGAAAACTGCATTCGTATTGAGATTTTGGTACATTCCATGGCATTTTAATTTTTATCAAATCATAAATGAGAGCAAATATTGTCTAACACTAAGCCTATAAAAGTCTATGACTGAATTTAAAGTTTATTTCTGCACATTGTTACTTTTAAAGGAAAATATTTGTAGAAATCATTCTTGTGTATGTATTCAGCCTCTCATGAGGTTTTGTTATCCGCAACATTGAAATATTGAGGCAACATAATTTTATATACGCAAAAATAGAAAGGAGGCAACTATTAATATGGGCTAGTCATATCTATGTAGTAATTTATACATTTGTGAGAAAGTATTAACATTGCTCAAAAATAAGAAATACTAGTAAGACAATAACCAATATGAACAAGACAGGTGATTATTTAAAAATACCAAGTGAGTACCATTTATATATATGATTTATTTAATGCTTTACAGTTTTAATATCTAATTGCCTTTTTCCTTTATCTTTAAAATGTGAGTTCCCTGCATATGGATAACCTAGTTATAGAGAAGAAAAGAATGATAAATTCCATGATAGCCAAATATTTCAATGAATATCTTAAATGTTAAATATCATATATTAATATTATAGATATAACATCTGTCTAAAAAGCTCACACTTAAATAAAGTTAGTTTAAATAAACTCAGATGGATCTCTTTTTATCTATGCCACATTTTCAATGTGTCAAAATAACATTCTCTCTGATATATTCCAATGTGCCTTTTTGATGTTGATTTAAAGTCACTACTTTATCCTGCCAAGTAACATTTGTTATCAAACATAACACATGCCACTAAGAATTGTCAATTTCTAAGGGTAAATAGAGACCAATTTTTATGCTTTCAGCAGGTTTGGTTGTCCTTTAGCTATAACTACTGTGGATACCAGTCTTGCGTAAATGCATGGGTACTCAGGAGCAATTTACTTTTAGTATTAAAACAACCTGAAAAAATACTTACGTTATGAAGAAAGGTCACATCTTTTAATGGAAAATTTTGACCAATGCTAAATAAGTTTATTTAGAATTTTGGAGCACATAATATATTTATTGCATCCCACTTAAGTTCTCAATGTAAAAGGAAAAACTCTATTTTAACCTCTACTGTGAGAAGTATTATAGTTTTACTGTAATTCCCATGAAATTACCTTTATTTGTTTCTTTATTCATTATCTTTTTACAGCCCTTTAAGATTCAAGATTTTTATTTCATCTGACTTTCCAAATTTAGTAGCTTCATAAATTCTATTTTCCTGTCACAAAGTGCTCCCTGTGAGGTTTCGTGACATTGGATATAAGTCGTCTATTGGATATAAACTGAGTTACTGGATTCGGGGGTGGGTGTCACTGGTGTCATACCTGAAATGTCACGACCTCCACATTCCTGTGTGGTGGGAGTTGTGCTGTTAGTTCACACTCAATCTGGAAGTTACTCTTCCCAACAAAAGAAGTAGGATATAAAACTTTTTTTCCCCCATCTCTGCTGTGTAGGCAGAACCCAGAAACAGATGGCTGGAGAACACAATGTCCTAAGATTAGAGACAGGAAAATTCAGGTCCCCCCAAATAGAAAGAAGCAAGTCCGCAATCCTAAGTACTGCAGGCCAGACATTTTATAGCACATAACAGACAAGAAGAAACTAGCTTAATAATCACTTTGATTAAAATAAATCTACTGAAGGTGGCCTTGAAGCAGAGACTAAAGAAAGCCTGCAATGCAAGAATGAAGACATAATACAGAATGGTGTAGCTTGAGGACAATGTGAGAGAGCACGGAAGTCCAGAGCAGAGACTGTTCTCTTTGCTATAATTATTAACAAGGCTTTTTATTGATACCCGATCAAGTGGAAATTGGAAATATGCAGAACATGATTCTATATACTATATTATGCACAAAGTTGTATTTATTTTTTATTTTTGAGACAGGGTCTCGCTGTGTTGCCTAGGTTGGAGTGCAGTGGCCTGATCATGCCTCACAGCAGCCTTGAGCCCCTGGGCTTAATTGATCCTCCCACTTCAGCCTCCTGAGTACCTGGAACTGCAGGCACATGCCACCACATCGGCTGATTTTTGTATTTTTTGTAGAAATAGGGTTTCACCATGTTGCTCAGGCTGGTCTCAAACTCATGGACTCAAGCAATCTGCCTGCTTTGGTTTCCCAAAATGCTAGGATTACAGGCATCAGCCACCATGCCTGGCCATGTATTTTTGTTTACTTTATATAGTACTTATCATATGAAATGAATTCAGTCATTTTCAAAAAATCCGTGTATTATTTATATAAAGCACCAAAGTAAAGAGGAACTACCTGGATTGGATAGACTCTCCTGATAATTTCAAGTACTCAAAAAGAATAAGGCCAGATCAGTAGTAGCCATTGCACCATGTTGTCTAAACTATCTTCATTTTTGACCAGCTTTACACTGATTTGTATGTGTTCTCCGATTTCTTCCTTATGCCTCTGCTCATGCTATCCCACTGCCTGACACAATCTTTCTGCCATTTGCACAAGTCAGTATGTTGCTTATTTTTAAGGGGTAACTCAGATGTCATTTGTTCATTCTTTTGTCCTTGAGATCTACACTGAGTGTTTCTTATACCATTAGGAGTCAACTGATAAGACCCAGAGAAAAATAAGAGACTGTAGACACATGCAAAGATAACTAAAAAATAAACTGGAAATGCAGCAATATGATTTTTAGTGAGCTTTTATTCCATATAAATCAGAGGAGGGGAGGAAAGGAATTAGAGAAGATTTTGTTTAATTTTACTTCTTCAGGAGATCACACTTGAACTGTCTTAAGAGATGATGTTAATTAGTTGGAGAAGAAGGGAAAGTCCAAATGAATAGAGAAGCATGAAGAAAGGCAGAGTAGTTGGAAATATAGTGATGCATTTGGAGAACTACAATTTAGTGTGATCAAAAAGTGAGTCCATGGATAATGAGGGCTGAAACTGAAGAGAGAGATAAGGTTTACTGCATGGAAGTCCTGGATGATAGTATGGAATTTGAATTTTAAATTGTAAGTTATGAGGATTCACTTAAGTGTTTAAACAAAAGAATGACAAAATTAAATTACCAAGAACAATTACTTTTGCAATAAAGTAGAGAACAAAAATTGCTGTGGGGATGCCAAATAAGAGGTATTATAATCGATCAAGTGAGTCAATGATACACCTAAGTAGGATCCAGGAAGAGAGGCAGATTAAAGGAAATATATTATGAGTTCAGACTGGGAATGCTGAATTTGAATTGCCTGTGCACAGAAAAATAGAAGTCTCAAAGAAGCAGTTAGATATAGATTTATGGGATTTAAGGGGAAACACTTTGTAGAAGATACTGATTAGAAGTCATCAACTTTGAGGTGGAAATTGAAATAAGGAAAGTCAGTAAGACCACCCAGACAGTGAAAAGATTAAAACTTTAAAACAAAAGCTGACGAAGTTCTTATCTTAATCTTCCTAAAGATAACATTTACGCTCAAGGATGTCAGTAGCATTCTGATAGGGAGTAAAGTAACCTGCCACAGGTCATATGGCTAGTAACAATGAAAGTGAGGTTCAACTACAAGACTTCATGCTTCCAAAACTTGTAATTTTTCTTATGTATTTATGTAGCTACTATAATCTCAGATAATTTAAGCAAAATTATTTTTAACTAGAACTTTTTTTGGAAAGTTCTTAGCTTGCTTTTAATTTCTTTATATAATGTAAATCAACATCAGAACTAAAGCAAAAAATTCCAATATTATAATCCTGGTCCTGAATTCAGAGCCACGATTTTTATTTCAAGCTATATGACACTTTTGTTCTTTTCAATTCACAATAGTCATTTGGATGACCTTGAATAGATGATAAATCTTGTTCATTTCCGTTATTTAAAAATGCAAATGAATAATTGAATCATAAGGGTCATATTTGTTAAAAACGTCAGCAGCATGCATTTGAAACAGTGTAAATCCTGAGTAAAGAGGTATTTTTCTTTGTGACAATAGTAAAATGCTTATTACTAAATTATGTTTGATTTTGTCTGTATTTTACTAAAGTTTGAAGGAGTCATGGAGTAGAGTGAACATATGAATTGAAAAAGATTTCTTACCCACGTGTTACATATTTATTGAAGGGAGTGAGTGATATACTAAGTTAATGCCAAGTTTGCATGTGTGTGTGTTCAATTTAGCTTTAAATTTCTCAGTGATCATTTGGTCACCTATTAGAAAATGTCATATTGGGTACATTAAATATGCCTTGGACATTGAATATGTTAAAGTCCTCAAAGAATTTGCCAATTATTTAAATACACAAATGCTATATACACAAAACAACTATAGACCTAATTAAGGCAATCAATGTGCTCTGAGACCTAAAGGCAACTGAATAGTTTGATTTACCCCACAGAAAATATAAAGTGTTATTATTTGAAATACAGTAATTAAAAAATTACACTCAAGTAACTTGGCACCAACATGTTCTGTGCTTCTCATCAAAATCTGTAGTGTTGAGTTTATTTTGGACCCTTATACTATTAAACAAAAAGGCAAAAAAAATTGACATAGAATGAAAGGAAAATGACTATAATAGTGAAGGACCAAGTGAATGACCAAGGAACTCTGTCATTTGAAGTGCTAGGAAAGAACTAATGATGTGTGTTAGAAATGACAAGACTCACTGAAGGATTGATAGCTCTATCTTTCAATAACTGAAGAGCTGTTATTCAGGAGAAATTATACTTTTTTCTTTGTCACTCTGGAAGTTCTGGGTCCGAAGCCTTAGAGGAAATGAAAACCCTGGAGTCACCCAAAGGTCGGCTTGATTCCAACACTGAGACTGATTTAGATGAGCTTTCCTGGAAGATATTTAGGGGCTCTCACCCTTTTTTTTACCTATTCCTGGATATTTACATCTCTACGCATTTTCCATAGGTTTATTTTTGAGATTTGTGTCCTTATAAGCCCACTTTGGCTTCTTTATTTTTCCTTTTTCTACTTTCAGAGATATTCCTTGTTGAATTTCCTTTTAGTCCTCCATGACCTTGAACGATGTTTTCTTTCGGAGCCTGAAGTCACAGTACCAGAGGAATTTGTTGTTTGATCGGAACCAGTAGATACAGGATTTTTAGATTTCTATGGAAAGAACTTTGTAGTTACTAGAGATACATTTTACCTTTCTCTATATTATATAAATATGCTCCATAAATTTAAGGGTGAGTCAAAGGTTGAATTTATGTTCCTAAAATATTAGTAAAAATCTGATATTAGGTTACCTCAAATTCTGGCTGAATAATTTCTAACATTTTAGTTTCAGACTTAATTAAAATTATAGTTGATATCACAGAGCATCAATATCAATGGCACTTGGTGGAAAGGCCTGTGTGATAAGTGAATGACACATTCTGGTAGTCATCAGACAGCTATTGTTTAGATAAGAAAGAATATTAGTGTCTACATAAGTTATGGTAAAATGTAAGTTAAATCAGTACTTACTCTGGACCTAAATATCATTATTAAATCAAACTTTTTTCTAAGTATATTTACTTAACAGAAGCAAATTAAACGTTTGTTCTAGTAGTTTGAATGACTTTGGTAATTCTAAAACTGTAAACATTTATTAGGAGGGACTAACTTTGGTGGAGTACTGAGTTTATTTATTTTTTAATTAATTAATTAATTAATTTTGAGAGAAGGTCTTGCTCTGTTGCTCAGGCTGGAGTGCAGTGGCTTTACCATGGCACACTGAAGTCTCAAACTCCTGAGCTCAAGGAATCCTTCCACTTTAGCCTCTGAGTAGTGGGGACTACAAGTCCATAACACCACACCTGGTTGATTTTTTTTTTTTTTTTTTTAAGAGATGGGGTTCTCGCTATATTGGTCAGGCTGGTTTTTGAACTCCTGGCCTCAAGCAATCCTCCTGCTTTGGCCTTTCCAAGTGCTGGGATTATAGACTTGCACTCAGCCAAGTATTGGTTTTAAATGATTGGGTTTTTACATCTAAATTATAAACATTTTTGTCATAAAAATTTTATTTTACTCATTAAACTTAATTACTGATTTGTGATTTCATTAGCTAGCTGTAATGAATACAACCAATGTAAAATATTGTATGATTCTCTTAGAATTAAAAGACTGAAAAAGCAATTTTACAAGTAAAAATTAGTTTATAAGATTCCAATAGATACTTTAAAATCTAAGTGGGACTCTTAACTGTCCTCCACAGAGGGGTTTACTTTTTGCCAAATAAATTTTGGAAATGATGCAAGTTTTTACTAATACACTGAAACAAAGTGTCAGTAATCATTTTACATACACATGGTCCACTTAATTCTCTTAAACCAAAGAAAATAATAATAGCTTCTGTTTTCTCTTGCTGATTGTATAGCTGGGTCATATGATAGGTTACAAAAACCTTTTATATTGTCCTCTCAACATATAGATGAAATTCTAAGCCTAGAAAGTGTGATCTTAATTTCTGTCTGTGGGATGAGCAAGTCTTCATATGAACATTTTTCTAATAGTGACAATAACTTGACAACATAGACTATACGTGCAAAAGGAATTAAGTTTTGGGCTAGTAAAACTTAGCAAACCATAAAAGGCAGGAAAGTGTGGAAAATATGAAAGCAATAGTAAAATGTACCTTAGGGGATGATACCATCATAGCAGTATTTTTTAAACATTTGGATAATATAATTCAGAAAAGTGATTCCTAACTGAGAAAGATTTTAATGCCAGTGAATGTGGGCAGTACTACTGGCTGCTTTCTAGAATTTTCATTTATTGAGTTATTTCTGTCTAGTACCATATTGGTTGTACTGGATATCATTATTTTATATAACAGCTTACTTTTGTTAATCATGGTTTTGCTAGTCATTTGAGTAAATAAAAATAAATAAACACTGTTCTGCTAAGTAAGCAGCTGAAAGTTCTCTGCTGTACTACCCAGACTATTCTGACTGTAATAATGTCTTCTCTACTAGAGCAAAAGTTCTCTGATTGCCAGATGAGGATACCCTTTGTTACCTAAATATCTTGATGATTTCTTAAAGCTGTTTCTTTTGGAATTGTCCAATTAAAACAACTAACACAACCTGTTGAAAAAAAATTGTTTCCCACCTCAGTGCAAAGAAATACCTCATTTAATTTCCAGTAAAGAGAATGAATTGACAGAGGGTTACCTGTGCTTTTGTCATCAGCCTAGACATCTACATTCTGTTGGAAGCTGAGCACTTATAAAGGTGTCGAAATAAAAGCTCCCTTTAATTTTGCCATCAGAAAATCTCTTTTGGGTAGTTGGCTTTATAATCTAAATTAACCAGATTATTTATTTATTTATGTACACCTGGGATTTGCATTTCAGTTTTCCTCATGGTTTAAATGACTGTTCCTTGCTCACACTGCACGATTTATTAGTAGCTCTTCCTTATTAAAGAACTCTTATTAGAACTAAGTCTTGTTAGTGTATATCTACTGGCCTTTACACAGTCACGATCGCATTCACAGTCAAGTCACTAGAGAAAACAGAGGGCCCAAACTCTTTAAGCTCAGACTTCCATCTGTAAAATCCCCTGCATTTATTTAGTGGCACAAAACACTTTAAAGCCTTATTCATGTATATTCATCATCAAGATTCAGAAATTCCTGGACAATTTGTCTATGAAAACTCCAAATATATTCCTTCTTAATATTACAGTCTAATTGTTTAGCATATCATTTATCCTCCCATATGTTAATATCCTTTAATAAATTTTATATTATCCCAGTTAAATAATTGAAAAAAATGTGTGATGTTAGAGAATTTAAAGTAGATTTTTGAAATCATCTAATGTATCGCCAGTTAAGAGTTCAAAGGTTTTATAAAGCTAATGAAAAATATTAGCTTGAAGCTGAACATTTCAAAGACTTAAGATACAGTAAGTATTTAGCATTTCTGAACCTTGAAAGGTGGCCTGAACTACTTACCTGTATTTTAACTCATCTATTATCTAAATTTGGAAAAATAAAAGCTTATGACTCCATAAAGACCATGGGAGCATAAAATGACTTTCTATGCCAAGTTATTTCTATGTAGAGAATTCAGGAATCATCTAGGAGATAAACTGAATAGAGGACAGGGCTGTTTTCCCAGGACCGAAACAGTTTTGCTATGTTTACTGCTCAAATTCGTTAGCTAACTTTTCATATTCAAATACTAGTCAGTAATATTTAGATGATTTTTGGATATAAAAACTTTAATCGCCTTGGAAGTGAACAAAATTAGAGTATGAGAACTTCTGACTATGTAAAGTAAAAACAGTCTAATCAATTTGAAGGTTTCTAAACTATGGATTTAGAAACTTTAGCATAATATCCTTTAATGTTAATGTGTAAATATTATTTTGTTGTCTTAACACTGGAGATGGAGCCTAACTGTATTGTGCTTAATGAGAATGGATATAGTTTAATAGAAATGTGATTATATTCTCTAAGGAATCATCTCATTACTTTAATGTACTAAATACACTGCGAATACGAAAGAGTACTTTAAAATCAAAATTAAATAAGCTAACTATGACTGTAGAATATTTCTTACATAATACACCAGCCAATCCAAGCCATAAGCAAATATATTTCATCCTGACTGCCATGGCCTTGCGTTTGACAATGTTCTACACAATCCTCTGCTGTAAAAATTAATTGGAGGACGATGATTTAACAATGTCTTCTCTTTCTTTTTATTATTTACATTTCTGTCCTCTCATTTTCTCCTCTATATTCAACTTAGAATTGTAGACATTCATTGTTCCTGAGTGAGTTATTATGAATTGATTATCTTTTAGAGATCAATAGAACATTTTGAAAATTTTTTCTCTACTAAATTACACTTTTCCTTAGGTTTCCAGGAGAAGAGATTTGTGTTTTATTGCAATAAAAGTGACAGCATTTCAACAAATACTGCTTCTCATCTATTTTTGGTATTTCAATAAACTATTCAGTTAAGAAGTACCTACCCCTCTTCTATTTCTTCCTCACTGCAGGAATTTGTTTTTGCTAAGTCCTACGTTTATCAACTTTGGTCACTGTTTTTCATATTAATACATACAGAATTATACAAACATGACTTGGACATAGCCTAGAAATTGAAATAGTCAAGTCACTAGAGGCAAAAGGAAGCCCAAACTCATAATTTTTAAACCGTATTTTAGAGGTTGTCTTTAGAAAGTACTCATTATTATTCAGAGACTACCTTTATTACTAAGTGTGGATAGAAAATTATAACTTCCTTTTGAATAAGATCATTATCAAGTTTGCAGTTATTCTTAGTGCTAATTTTAATCTCCAGAATGAAAGTTTTCTTTTATTCTGAAATCATACTAAGGTTTGTCTAATCTTAAAATTTTCACATAATATTAAACTAAATTTGACACAATTTTTACAAACCCCACAACATTATGGATTTTAAGATTTCAAAGAATATCGAGAGGACATCATGCATCTCCTTTCTTAGAAACATTTATTTTAGATTGTAAATGCATGCAAGCATACCCTCCTCCAACCCCTTCCCACCAACACATGCACACGCACACTCCTAACCAACTTAAGGGCAAGCCAGGAAATGAACTCAAGGCTTCAGTCTGTATGTCCTATTTATATGACTATGCTCTGGACCGTTATTGTAATTCTGGGCCCCATTCCATTCTCTTAGCCCCTGAAGAGGATTGGAGAATAGGAAAAGGCTGATTGCCATAGAAGAACATTTTCTTTTTAATTTTAACCTCCAAGTTGACCTTCTCATTTGAGTCTCCTCCATTACTGAGTCCTTTATCACAGTCACTGAGGAAATGTGAAATGCTAGATGTGCTTTTCTAAAACACAATGTACTGAAACACACCTAGGGACTTGAAATGTAGAGACTTGATAATGAGAGATGAATAAATTCTTTCCTTTTAAGGAAATTCAGTTGGGATTGAAAGTTAAGACTGATCTATGATAACATTCAAATCATACTGGGTTCCTAACACAGTGACAAACTATAAAAAGAAAATCACTAAAATGTGAAATTCAGAATATCAAGTTGTTTCACAGATTTTGAAATCTATCAGTTTGTCAGACTAGTTTTTGAACAAAAAAGCAAAGATTAAAAAACATAAATGTCTGTAAAATTGCATTAAGATTATTTAGTGTTTTTGCTTGTATTTTAGGGACAATTTTGAACAATGAACGATAAGTTGTAAGGTGCTTTACCAAGTGAATTTTGTTCTACTCCATTTTAATTATTCACTTCTTCAGATGTGGGAATTTTTTTCTTTTTTAAATCGTGCTTTCCTGGTAAAATACAAAATAGTTGACAATATTTATTTCAATTAGGAAAAATTAATAATGCTTTAATATCAAGAAACTTCCTGCCAAAAATGAATAATCCTATTCTTTACCACATACAGGATGATCTAGATTACTCTGAAAAGTTCTTATGGAAAAAAGGAAACAATGATATTTTATTAGCATACTGTTCATGCACCAAATATAACCTTTCATACCTTTAAGACTGGAGAGATTAGGTTAAAAGTCAGGAGTATTGTCATGTTTGCCAGTAAAGGAATAATAACAACTTTCAGTAGTTACCTGACATGCCCTCCTCAGCAAGCAGCTGGTTCTGAGCTCTGTCCTAAGCTTGTGACCCAATATCAAGCCAATGTATATTGTAAAATTTAAAAAACTGACAAATAAATATAGGTGGTCTTCCCTCCCTCAAAAGCAGCCATAACCAAATAGAAAGTTTTAATCTTATTAGTTGATCCATGTACTCAGTTATCAATGGACTAAAAAAAAATTGCACCATAACAGGTTGAATTGCAATTTTATGTTATCTTTGCAAAACAACTGTGTGGATTTTTCAAAAGTATATGCATGTATCAACTGTGCCGGCCATGCAGTGGAAGATAGATGGTGATAACTTTTTCTAGAAGGATCTTTTGGTGAGCTAAACAGACTTTATATGTCATAGTGATAAAGAACTTGAGCATTAAATTCAATCAGACCATAAAATAAACAGCCCACTCTACAACTCACTGGCTGTGTGACTACAGCAATGGTAGTACGTATCTCAATGAATCATTGTGAGCATTAAATGAGATGACTTTTTAAATTTTTTTCTTTTGTATAGAACTTAATCCCTAGTGAGGGCTCAATACATATACTGTTAATGAAAGATGGCAACACATTTTTGATGCTCATCCCATTGAGAAATGGGGTGTAGTTCCCCATCCTGAAAGATGCTAGATCTTTCAGGAAATAAGTAGCTTTTTCTTAATATCTTAGAGCCCTGAACTACCAAAACAGAAGTCCAAGAACCTTCTAGGGATAGAGATCACATGGGGGAACACCGAAGGGCCATATATATAAGTGAAGAGGCCATACTGCCGATATCCGAGTAAGAAATGTCCAACTGAGCCGCATTAACCCACAAAATCATGAGAAACAATTTTTGTATAAACCATTATATTTATTGGAGTGGACGT
Source organism: Homo sapiens (assembly GCF_000001405.40). Lineage (NCBI taxonomy): Eukaryota > Metazoa > Chordata > Mammalia > Primates > Hominidae > Homo > Homo sapiens. The sequence continues at coordinate 86,421,826 of NC_000007.14, read as the reverse complement.
TGTGACACAGTAATAGATAATCAGGACATTGTATCATTATTGGAAGAATAATGAGATAATTGAGTCAAATATTCACTCATGTATGTACACACACACATGAACACACACAACACACAAATATAAAACACATATGTACTTCCAGGAATTTAGCAGTGAATAAAATAACAGCCCTCATAAAAGTTGCAGTATAATTACATTAGAAAAACACTAGAAGTCTCTAGTGTTGAGTGTTCTGTGGTAGAAAGACCAGTTTTGATCATAAGTTAGAGTTTATTCTTGTACAAAGACTCAGGATAGAATGTCAAAGGTTAAAGTAAAATTCAAGGATCAGACATAAATCCATGAATGCTAAAAGTGATTCAGCTATAGAATAACAACAGAATAAAGAAAAAGTAATAAAAAATGAAAGCGAAATGTACCTTATATTGCTAGCCTATGGAAAAGATACTTCACCTTAATGTTTTCAGTAATATTTACAAAAAAATACTACTTATTTCAGTATGTATATTCAGTACTCTTTAAGTGACATAAAAACACAATTTTTGTAGTTTGGGGTCAAAGTTCCTCTCAGTGAAGGAAGAACTGAATGTGCTCTGCTAAGTTAATAGAGGGTGGAAGATAAGCTCCTAAAGGACCAGATTGGAAAAATACAGGAAAGATATCTGAACAGTAGGAAATGAACATAAATTCAGTGATGGGAAAAACAAAGGAGAATACTGAAGACGGATGAATAGGAAAAAGAGGGTGAGCAATGGGGTTAGAGGCAGAATCTTGAGGAGAAGGATGTCCAATAAGAAACGTCAACTCTGGATAATCAAAAGGAAGTGTAGGAACAGTATGTATTAGGGTTCTCTAGAGAAACAGAACTAATGGGTTTTAAAGAGAGATATATTTTCAGGAGGAAGTTTATTATGAGTAGTTGGCTTACACAGTTATGGAGGCTAAGTCCCATGATTTGCCCTCTGCAAGCTAGAGATCCAGGAAAGTCAGTAGTATAATTCAATCTGAGTCTGAAAGGTCTGAGAATCAACAGAACTGATGATGTAAATATCCGAGTTAAGGAGATGTTGAGATGTTCTATCCATCTTTGGTTCTATCCAGATACTCAATGGATTGGATGAAACCCACTTTGGGAAGAACTATCTGCTGAGTTCAGTGATTCAAATAAGAATCTCATCCAGAAACACTGTCATAGACACACCTGGAAACAGTGTTTAACTGGATACCTGCCCATCCATTTCTTTATCCAATCAAGTTGACATGCAAAATTGACTCACATAGTGGTATCTTTTTATTCAATTTTAAGTCTTTTAATCTCTGTATTATGCTTATCTCTGTGGCTTATATAGTTTTTTTTTTTGTGAAATTAGGAAAACAATTTGTTGGGTATATGGAGCAGCACAGAGTAGAAAGAAATAATGGCAGCAGATGGTAAGATGCAAGGGAAGTTGGGGCCTAAACTAGGATCTAGACATAACCATGTGTGTAAGCTTTTTGGAAATTGCTGAAATTTTCGAGAGGACATTGGATTTCATGTAAAACATAAGATAGAAAATTGAGATAATTTTACCTAAATATCCAAAGATGGAATGTCATTAGCTGATATATGTGGTACACTATATACAAGGGCACATATGCTACAGAGAATGGGCCATACAAAAAATAATCCTTGAGAGAAAAGCTTGGAGGGGTGGTTGGAGGTGGTGGGAAGAAACTAATATATACTGATCAATTATACTGTAAACGTGGTGCTATATCTTGGCATAATTTTATCACTTGGATTTAGCAAAGATTTTCTGTTAGCTATTATAGTCTCCATGTGACTGTCACATAAGAGAGCTGAAAAGAGACTGGTAACATAGCTAGTAACGGATAAAAATCAAATTATTTGCTTTCAAAGTCATCACTCTCTTTACTATTCCTCACTCTGTTCCTGAATCTACTAAGAATGTCACTGCAAGTACAAGATGCTACCAAATGCAGACTTTCACCTAGTTCTAGGAAAATTTTATTGGATGTACTCTTTCATCAGAGTTAATATCAGACAACAACTAGTGATATTATTGGTATTTTTTTAATAACCATTTTTGTGGTGATTCTAAACAAATGGGACAAACTACCGTCTGGCTGGATGTCCTTCCTTCTTCTTCTTGAATTCTTTTTAATGACCTCCTGGGAAGCTTTACTGAGACTGCCTTGAGGAAAATGACACAGTGGATATAATTTATCATGAGTCTTATTTTTTCTTCAAAATCTTCACATTCTTGCAGGAGTATTCTTTCTTCTCTTTTCTCTCTCTTTTTTTTTTTTTTTTTAACACATCAGGTGTCAGTGCCCTCAACATTACATTTTATCAAAGTCTTCCCTAAGGTGGACAGATTCAGGTCTGCCCCTGGAATTTCAGGCATTATAAGTTCTCTGGTATATTGTAGATAATCAGGGATTTAATGTACCTTTTCATTGTACATTAAATCCAATTAAGAATGGCCAAAAGAACTAGGTGGAAGTTAAAATGTGAGAAAAGTAAAGTATAATAGAAAAAGATTATTCATAAGAAAGCATATGCAACAAAAATATTAAAATAGAGGTTAGTCCTTTTGCTCTTCATATTGTATTCATTTTTATTGTAAATTCTCAAAGTATTCTCAGACAGGCTTCTTTAACACTATAAAAATAAGCAATAGACAACATTATAGGAAATGGAGTGTGTGTTTCTCTGAGCATCTGGCTCAGGCATCTGTTGGAGACGGGACACCAGCTTATTGTTATTTTCCTATGTGGAAGGTCTAATTAAGTAGCAGACAACCCTAGAAGCCCTAGAGTATAGTTTAAATCAGTATCCAAAGGTTTATATGTGCTCACAGGCCTCTTATATCAGTAATACTGAAGTGTGAATCTCAGCAAAACTGGTTTTGAATTTCATGCCTAGAATATGCAGAAGTTGAAATAACTTTTGTGGGGCACATGATAGAGCATGACTAAGCTAGAAGAAACTTCAGTAAGTTGGCTTCCCAGCTAAGGCTTCTATTTAAGTACATTTAAACTAGCTCAGAAAGAGAGCTAACTATACTTTTCTAAATAATCCCCAGTAAATTAGATTTTGTACTAATATCTAACAATCTTTAGAGTCAGGGAGTTTTTGGCTATCACTAAATTCCCTTTGTATCTTTCATCCATACTCTCTTCTTCCCTTTATCCTTCCTTCTTTCCTCACTTCCTCCCTTTTCTCTATTTAGTCTCATGCACGGATTCTAAATTGTTACTCATAGTCAAATGTACACTTGATTCCATATACCTAATTGTCCTCTAACAATCCTCCTTCAATTAACTCATCTCTAGTCTAAGAAATTTGTTTTCACGGGTTTTCCTCTCATGTCAGTTTTCCAAATTTCTATTTGCTCTTTTTTTGGGGGACCCCATCTAATTTTCCTCATCTTACCTAGCTATGAGACACAAGACATATTAGACCTAGAAAGTTTCTCTTGGTGTTCACAGAATGAAATAGGCTTTGTGCTCTTTCTTTCTAATCTATTATTCTCTTAGAAATTGGATTGAAGTTTATTTTTATTGAAAATTCATTAAAATATCACTTCATGGGAATTTATTTTCCTTACAAATGAATATTATTCAAAAGAAAATAACACTTGTTAGTTTAAAAATTCTATAAACTGAACTTGTGATAAGCCAGTATGTTGGAGCGAGAACCACTGCCTGCCCCCCAAAGAAAAGGAAAGCGAACACTAACATTTTATAAATGTCTAGACTTACATTTTTATACAAAAGTGTGGACCTAGTGAGGTTGTACAGCACAGGTACGCTATTGTTATTGGAAACATTGATCCTATTAATGGATGTGCTGTTTATTCAACTTTTGTAAAAGACACCCTAAATCCCTATTTTAAGACCCATTTTTTGGAGTCTGAGGAAGTTGAGGAGCTGAAAGTAATTCCAAAATTACTAGATAGAGACAACTGTGCAGGAAATAAGATAACAGAATAAGAAAGGAAATAAACCCATCTAAATTCTAAAATTCTTGGAGACCAAGGACCTTACATTGGTAAATTAATATTGGGGGAACTATGGAGAACTAGTATACTAAGAAAAATTAAAGCAATAACCAAAAGAAAAACAATGCTTTTAATAAAATCAACTTTATAGGACAATCTAATAAAATTTAAAATGAGATGTTCAGCCTATTCAAAGACATAAAGAAATCACGTTAAAAAAATAGAGAAGTGGCCAGGCAGTGTAACTCATGCCTGTAATCCCAGCACTTCGGGAGGCCAAGACGGGCGAATCGCTTGAGCTCAGGAGTTCAAGACCAGCCTTGGCAACATGGTGAAACCTCATCTCTAGCAAAAATACAAAAATTAGCCGGGTATGGTGGCATGTGTCTGAGGTCTCAGCTACTCAGGAGGCTGAGGCAGGAGAATTGCTTGAGCACGGGAGGTGTATGTTGCAGTGAGCTGAGATAGCACCACTGTACTCTAGAGTCTGGGTGACAGAGTGAGACTCCATCTCAGTAGCAGCAGCAGCAGCAATAACAATAACAACAACAAATATATATATCTATATATCTATATCTATATCTATATATAGATATATCTGGAAATTGGCAAAAATGTGTTAAGAAAAGGTGGGTATGAGAGAGAACAAAATGAATCTTGGAAATAAAGGTGGGTATGAGAGAGAACAAAATGGATCTTGGAAATAAAACAATATACTTATTAAAATAAAAAATTTGAGAGGCAGGAAAAACTCTAGACTGGACATAAACTAGGAAAAGTAAGCAGAAATGTATTACTAATGATTTCATCTATAACACATCACTGATAGAAAAAAATGCAAAAAATAAATGAATAAATATGAGTCATGGAGTATATATCAAAATATTCTAACAATTCCAGAAATAGAAACTAAAAAAGCAATATTTTAAAAACTGAGAAATTTTAAATATTAAAGAGAGTTAGATTGCAATTTGATATATCTTTTAGAGTTCTGAGTGAGATAAATATTAAAAACAAACACCCAAACAAATGTCATCTAAACACATCATAGTCAAACTATAGACTGTCGAGGTTAAAGAGAACATTTCAAAAGCTGGCAGATGACCAACAAAATAGTGATAATTAAACAACAAACTTCTCTTCACCAAGAACAAGCTGGAATGCAATAAAACAATATTTTCCATGTTTTGCAGAAAAATAACCGTCAATTTAGAAACATATGCCCAGTTAAGTGATTATTCAAGAGTAAACATAAGTTAAATATACACTGAAACATATAAATACTTTGACATTTTTAATAACCACAGAACATAATTAAAGAACTTTTAAAAATGCATTTTGGTAAAAAGGAAAATGATGTTAAGGGAAGATGTAAGATATGCAAACTAATAGAGTTTTCCATTTAGTAATTGATAAGATTTGTTGGTAAATTTAATTTACTCTTGACTGTAAAGCTAATGCCTGTTTTTGCTGTAAAAAGATAAAAGTAAAGCTAAGAAAAATAATAAAATAGGATATTGAATGGGCGCCATAAGGTTGCTAACATCTTTATGTTGAAGGAGGAGCCAGCATGGATAACTTTAGACTTTAAAAAATAAGTATGCACATTAAAATGCAGAGATATGCATTAAAATATTAGGAAAAAAATATATTTTCCAAACCATCTGTGAAATTAGAAAATGCCATTTTGCTCTCAAAAGGCAGAAAATGGGAAAATAATCAGAAGATGATAGACATAAAAATGAGATGGTAAAACACAAAACTAGTAATAATCAAAACTGATGATAATGAATTAATACTCTATCCAAATCCTTCAGATGCTTAAGTGCAGCACAAATTTCTGCTGCCTGTATCCAGATACTGTTTTGGATTTACTATTTTGACAAACTGTAGTATTAGAGGCTTCCATTTGTGTTTTACCTATGATAGCTCTTCCTCCGTGGGCCAAGAACTCAATGTGAAAGTTGCACTATCTACCAAGCATATCAGTTTCAATTATACAATCAGGAACTGGGGAAATGCTTACTGTGTGGATCCACAGACTCAGGACACCCATATGAAGTCAGAAGTTGTCCAGGATTTTGTTTTTTAAAAGGTTTTTCATGTACTCCCCCCACCCCCACTGTAGCAGCAGGACCAAGATGACACTTTGCTTCTCTAGTTGTTAATATCAATTCAGATCCTCTTTCTAACATTCCTTGAAATATATAGGTGTTTTCTTTTTTCTGGTATACAATTACCTGAATAAAAGGCCATAAGTACTATTGGGGAAGGACTGAGGAAACGCTATCATGTTTACCTGCTATGGTTTTGCAGGATCCTTCTAGTTTGAAGGAAGCGAAGCGTTCCAGGTATGAAAAGATTTCAGTCAAGCAAAGGATTCCAGGTCTACAAAATGATGTAGGGCTGTGAACTGGACAATGTCTCAAGACTTCTTATTGGCATGACCAACTTTCTCTCTCACAGTTGTTCATTCTTGTACAAGCTTAGTAGTACTCTTATTGAATGCTAAGTGTCTTATGACCTCCATACTACTCTCAGCAAGCCAAGTTCTGTAATGGACTCTCTTACCTTCAGCTCTGGTCTACAGAGAAGAATAACTAGTTAACTCTTTTATGCCTCTTACCCAGCATCATCCTATGTGGCTCTGTGTTTTCCTACAGAACAAAATCGTCTGGTGAATGTTCTGAACATTTATAGCATATTTATTCAAGAGTGCCCAATATCTGAGCCTTTAAATTTTCTCTTTCACCATCTGTCATGACAATTAAACTTCACTTAACGTAAGCCTTCTCTTCACTTTTTCCATGTTATGAGGAATCATCTCCTAAGGTCTTTGCTTGTTAAAAATCCTATATCCAGCAGAGTGCTTCCACATCTCTAGCTCTTCCATATTCACTTTTTTTCTTTTTTTTGTCATGGACTCCTTGAAAAAACACTCTTAGAATCTATTCTCAGGCATATTCTCCCAGCTCTTGTAGGTACAATAGGTCTTGCAGGTTTTTTTTTTTTTTATATGTATATAGGACCTTTCCTACCTTATTAGCCTCAGTATGTCCCCAACCAGCCTATGCCATAATTTAACCTTAGATATATGCCTAGTTGTCAGAAAGAGAGATGGAAAGATCCTTAGGGGGAAATTTGTTTCCTTGAGGGGAAGAGGCTTCTGCATTGTCTTCCAGCATGGAGAAGTGGTAGCTCTTAATAAAAGATGCCAGTCACTTCTTTTTTTTTTTTTGTAATTTTTATTTTTATTTATTTATTTATTTTATGTTTTATTATTTTTTTTATTATTATACTTTAAGTTTTAGGGTACATGTGCACATTGTGCAGGTTAGTTACATATGTATACATGTGCCATGCTGGTGCGCTGCACCCACTAACTCGTCATCTAGCATTAGGTATATCTCCCAATGCTATCCCTCCCCCCTCCCCCTACCCCACAACAGTCCCCAGAGTGTGATGTTCCCCTTCCTGTGTCCATGTGATCTCATTGTTCAATTCCCACCTATGAGTGAGAATATGCGGTGTTTGGTTTTTTGTTCTTGCGATAGTTTACTGAGAATGATGATTTCCAATTTCATCCATGTCCCTACAAAGGACATGAACTCATCATTTTTTATGGCTGCATAGTATTCCATGGTGTACATGTGCCACATTTTCTTAATCCAGTCTATCACTGTTGGACATTTGGGTGGGTTCCAAGTCTTTGCTATTGTGAATAATGCCGCAATAAACATACGTGTGCATGTGTCTTTATAGCAGCATGATTTATAGTCCTTTGGGTATATACCCAGTAATGGGATGGCTGGGTCAAATGGTATTTCTAGTTCTAGATCCCTGAGGAATCACCACACTGACTTCCACAATGGTTTAACGAGTTTACAGTCCCACCAACAGAGTAAAAGTGTTCCTATTTCTCCACATCCTCTCCAGCACCTGTTGTTTCCTGACTTTTTAATGAATGCCATTCTAACTGGTGTGAGATGGTATCTCATTGTGGTTTTGATTTGCATTTCTCTGATGGCCAGTGATGATGAACATTTTTTCATGTGTTTTTTGGCTGCATAAATGTCTTCTTTTGAGAAGTGTCTGTTCGTATGCTTCGCCCACTTTTTGATGGGGTTGTTTGTTTTTTTCTTGGAAATTTGTTTGAGTTCATTGTAGATTCTGGATATTAGCCCTTTGTCAGATGAGTAGGTTGCGAAAGTTTTCTCCCATTTTGTAGGTTGCCTGTTCACTCTGATGGTGGTTTCTTTTGCTGTGCAGAAGCTCTTTAGTTTAATTAGATCCCTTTTGTCAATTTTGGCTTTGGTTGACATTGCTTTTGGTGTTTTAGACATGAAGTCCTTGCCCATGCCTGTGTCCTGAATGGTAATGCCTAGGTTTTCTTCTAGGGTTTTTATGGTTTTAGGTTGAACGTTTAAGTCTTTAATCCATCTTGAATTGATTTTTGTATAAGGTGTAAGGAAGGAATCCAGTTTCAGCTTTCTACATATGGCTAGCCAGTTTTCCCAGCACCATTTATTAAATAGGGAATCCTTTCCCCATTGCTTGTTTTTCTCAGGTTTGTCAAAAATCAGATAGTTGTAGATATGCGGTGTTATTTCTGAGGGCTCTGTTCTGTTCCATTGACCTATATCTCTGTTTTGGTACCAGTACCATGCTGTTTTGGTTACTGTAGCCTTGTAGTATAGTTTGAAGTCAGGTAGTGTGATGCCTCCAGCTTTGTTCTTTTGACTTAGGATTGACTTGGCGATGTGGGCTCTTTTTTGGATGCCAGCCACTTCCACAGGCTTAGAAGTTTCAGAGGAATCTGGAGTGCCTACAATCATAGGATATTTTTTTTCCAGATGTTTCCCTTCCATGTGTCAGGCTTCCAAGTTTTCCCAACCAAGACTCTGATGTTTACCTACATGACTTGCCTGGCTTGACCAATTTGAAACCAGCCCAATTGTTCCATACAACTGATGTTTACAGGTTTTGAGTAAACATAGAACTTGATCCTCCTGGCCTTAAAACTGAAAAACTTAAAATTGTTTTATCTAAGTTCCTTTATCAGGAAACAAACCATCAGGATCCCTGATAGTATCAAGGAACTGAAACTCACCAGATTACTGCATGCGGACAATGAGACACCAGAACCCTCATCTGGCATGGTTGCCTAACCCAGCACCTGCTGACTATTACCATCTCTTTATTACCTAATTCCTGTTTTCTGAAACATAGCTACATTTCTTCCCTGCTATATAAGCCTGGTTTATATAGCAAGTCAGTCAGCTGGGGAGATGGATTTGAGACTCATCTCTTATACTCTGGCTGCAACATCCAAATGAAAGCTTCTTCCCTGGAAATACTCACTGTCTCAGTGATTGGCTTTCTATGTGGTGAGCAACAGGACCTAGACTAAAACTCTGGTGTTTCAGTAACAATTTAGCCTTTTAAATCTCAGCCACTCAAACTATTATAGCCTGTGCTTGGCCTTCTGCCTAGGATATAATAATTTTTTTACACTCCTAATATAAGAGATGAGAGCCTTGTATGCTACCAAATAGGCTCTCTGGCTGTCATACTTGGTTTTAAAATGCTTTAAAACTGCCTTCAGCGTTTCATTTTATCTTTCTCAATAATATCAATGAAGTTTAGAATAAGCCAATCAATCCTACTGCATCTGTAATTATTTCCTCTGTAAGTTTCAAATGCCTGATAATGTTGTACCCAGGTAATGCATTCCCTTGGCCAGTGTAATAGCTCAATTCAACACCAGAAAAAGCTCTCACAATCAGAGTGCCAGGAGCTATTTGTGCTCCACGAGTGATAGAGGGTGACGGCATGGGGATGACTTAATCAGGCAGTGAGTAATCCAACTTTAAAATACCAAATTACTGTTTACTCTTTTGGACCATCCCTAGGTCTTGACATCAAAGAGCTTACATATTTGAAAAAGGTATTGTCTTGAAAACAGTATTTTGTAGGAATCAATTATTTTACAAAAACATTTTTGCCTCTGATGATTGTCCTTTCCTGGCCACTAAAATAGGTGATTAGCCTGGAAATTCTGAAGTTAGAGATAATGGAATCTGCATGGCAGCCAAGGCTAAGTCTTTTTTTTTTATCATTATACTTTAAGTTTTAGGGTACATGTGCACAACGTGCAGTTTTGTTACATATGTATACATGTGCCATGTTGATGTGCTGCACCCATTAACGCTTCATTTAACATGAGTCTTTCAGAGTATCTCTCCCCTGCTGATGTTCTCAAGGGAAAAACATACTTCAAAGGAGAGTTTTATTCTTCTATTTGTTTCTTCACTCTGTTTACCTCAAAGATGATCAGCAATGCAATCATTTTATGGTTTAAAATGTAGACATCGTTGAGAAAACTCTGAAGATTGCCGGTAGAGACATTCTATGTCCTAATTGAAATTTAAAAAAAAAAAGCATTTTGAAAGTGTATTAGATGTTTTGGCTTAGTCACAACTTTAAAACACCAGCTGATCTTTGCTACATTTTACAGAAGGCCTTTAAAAACAGGTTTCAGGATTTTATTTTCTTCATCTTGCATGTGGGTAATTGAATTGCCGCTTGCTAACTGAGACATCACTAGTTGGTTTCATGTGTTCTGTTTTAACATTTTAAAGGAATATTGGGTTTCTTTGGCCACTGAAGAATGGGATATTAAAGTAGAAAATTTCCAGAAAGTATGTTTGTAGACTGACAAATTATTACAGCTTCTGTGGTTAGAATTAAGCCTATGAAAATCTTTAATCTCTAAATAACTTTTTTTCTATTACTTCTCTGAAGTCTTGATGAGGTGGTTGAGAACATTGTTTCTTTAATGGTAATATAGCAATAATAATAATTTATTGAACACATACCATGCCCTAAGCATTATTTAGCATATTATATGCATTATCACATTTCATCTGCTTTTACACTAGAAGAAACTAAAGCTTAGACAGTTTGTGTACTGGACCCATGATGATTCAGGTGAGGAGGGGTGGTGCTGGGTAGTAAGCCCAGGTCAGTGTGGTTGTAAATCAGTGCTGTTAACCAGTATGCTAAAATAGTCCGCATAACACTACTGCCTTTTTAAATTATCAGCTTCTAGCACAGATCTGGCACTGAGAGAATGCTCAATAATGTTTGAAAAAAATGTTCATTGAATTAAGTGAAATTGTAGTTCTGAGGAATGGTTATTAAACATAATCATATGAAAATAATTACTTGGCCACACTGGGCATATTTTAAAGAGCTCTTCCTCCATTTACCTCAAAACTTGTTTCTTTAAGTTTTTGTTTTCCTAATATTAATTGAGATATATTTAACATATAATCAGCTGAACAAATTACATAGCATCATTTGATAAGTTTTGATATATATGTACTCCCATGAAACTATGACTACAATCAAGAAGTGAACAGCTCCATCACCAGGAAAGTTTACTAGGACCATTTTCTAATCCCTCCTTCCTACTCCCTTCCTATTCCCAGACAGCCACTAATCTGCTGTCACTTTTGATTAGTTTTTATATCTAGAACTTTTATAAATTGTGTAATATAACATGTATCTTTTTTCTGGATGCTGTTACTTGGCATAATAATTTGGAGCTAGATCCATGTTGCTGCATATATAAATAGTTTATTTATTTGTATTGCTGATAGTGAATTGTATTATTCACTATTAACGAATATGAATATGCCACAATTGCTTTATCAGATTTATCTGTTAATGAACAGATGATTGTTTCTAGTGTTGGCTATTACAAATTAAGCTGCTGTGGACATAAGTGTACATGTATTTGCATGGATATTTGCTTTATTTTTCTCTCAGGTATATCCCTAGAAGTAGGATGTCTGGACCATATGATACATGCATAATTAGCTTTTAAAGAAACTGCCAGATTGTTTCTCAAGGAAATTGCACTATTTAAATTCCCAACAAGTGTATTGAGAGTTACAGTTTCTCTATATTCTCAACACTTCATAGGGTCAGACTTTTAATTTTAGACATTTCTAATATATTCTAATACAATTCTAATAATTGTAATATTATTTTAATGTGGTTTTAATTAGTATTTCCTAAGGAATTATGCGGGGCATCTTTGGAGGTGTGTATTTGCCACACAATCACTTTCTTTTTTAGTTAAGCTCATGCTCAAATTTTTACCCCCCAAAATTGAGTTTATTTTTTGTTGTTGTTATTGGGCTTAGAGATTTCTTTATGTATTTTGCATACAACTCCTTAATCATATATAAGCTTCTCAGACATTTTTCCCAGTTTGTGGCTTGTCCTTTTATTCTTCTAACAGTATCTTTCAGAATGTATAAGTTTCTTATTTTGATGAAATTCTATTCATCATTACAGGTATTAGATCTATTCTATGTATTGATGTAACTTTTGACCCCCTGGTTCCAGGAGTAATATACAAGAATAGAGAACAAGTCTAAGATTTTTTAAACCATTACAATTACAGGAAATGTTACTGGCTTATGTCTTCTACTATGCTATGGATATTAGGTAAGATCTCAGTCTAGGCAGTAGCCAGCCAGAAAAAAAAAATATTCAGAAATATTTTTAAAGCTAAGAAGTTTCTAAAAATTGCTCAGTATTATCCCAGTTCTATTACCCTTCCATCACTCTAGGCAAGTGGTGCAGTCATGATACAGTATGTTTAGTACTTAGAATAGTCAGTCTAGTGCTTTGCAGAAAAATAATGTCTATCCTCTACATATCAGTGTGCTGGATCCTATCAGGAAAGTTCTTGAGGTATTAGGAATATCAGGTAGCTTTTATAAACAAAGGTACCAAGAGAAAACCACTATTCAAATGAAGTAAATAAAGCAAAGCAAAATAAAACAAATTTATGTTTATTTACGGGCTTCATGCCCCGACATTCTTAATGAAATTTGGGAGTGAACCAGATATTCACGTTTCTGTCAGCATATATATGTGATTTTATTCAACAAAAATCCTCCGAGAGATTATATCATATGTAAATAGAGTTACATTCAGGAAATTGATTCTCCTTAGTTTGTGAGATGGTATACAATCTTTTATTGCATTTTAATTACATCTTAATCATAGAAAGCTAATGCTTTATAAAATTTCCTCTGTGCCAGGTCATGTTTGAGATATTTTAGGTATATCAACTTAATAAATGTTAAAAACAATTTTATGATGTAACCATTATTATTATTCATATTTAAATTGAGGAAATAAAGGCAAAGAGAGGCCAATGTATTTCTCAATTAACTAGGAGAGTCATGATTCAAATTTCAGGCAAGGTGACTTGATTCTGCCCTGCTAATGAGCATTCACTTCTGCTAACTAGAAGTGGTGTGTGATGATAACCAGCCCAAGTGAATTATAGACACTTTGAACAGTGACTAATGTAGTGGGTGCTTCACTCCAAGGACATTAATACCTATTTAAACACTCATCAACTAAATATTTAGCTTTAGAATTCTTGAGGATGACATCCTTCATGCAATAACATAGGTGAGGCTGGGGTAAGAAATCCACAAATGTTTTAATAGTCTACAAAGTCCTGGCCCTACTCTGATTCTTGTTTTTTTCTCATTCAGCCTTTCTGTTTTTCTATAGGTTCTTCTACTACTTCCCCAATTGATTGGTGGGAAATATTTTCAATCAATATAAAAATTGAGGTTTTAAAAATATACTATTGAGTTAATGCCTAAGTTAGATGCAGTAGTGCTTGGAATACACACACACACACACACACACACACACACACACATATATTTGTTATTGAAGAAATGAATATCTTTAAACAGGTTCTATAAAAAATTGTATTTGACTCTGCTAGAAATCAGAAACATTAGCATAACAATCAGATACTTTAAAATATTCAGAGAAACATGAGAAATTTAACCAACATTTTTAAAATAAAAAATATAGTAACCAGCTAATGAAATGAATAATCTCTGTCATGTAAACGAATTATGTGGGCACTCATAAAGAATGTTATATTACTTGAAAAAAAAGGATAAGCTTTACTGATTTCAACTATTTCACTTTAAAGGTTTTCTTTAAACTTTATATAAAAAAACCTGATCAAATTAATTTTCTTACCCTGATAACTTTATGTACCCAAGAGTAATTGCAAAGAATAGTTAACACTTGGGAAAATTATACCCCTTTAAATCCAGCAACAATTTAGAAGAATCATCTGCAGTGTCTAAGAAGGGTGGCCACACACGGAAGACCTACAGGATCGTCTGGCAACCGCATTGACAGCTTCATTAAACATTTCATTCCACATCACTGACGTGCAACTGATTTCCTCTGAGGTTGCGGAAAACCATTAGACTTTCATCAAAAGGAACTTGATCTCCTGCCCAGCTCTCCACATGCTACTTATACCCTGTACGCTGCCGCTTCCATGGGAATTAGCATCAACTTGAAGAAGCATCTCACCAGACCAAGTTACTAATTTATGGCCAGAGAAGGAGAAAAAAATAGCAATAATTTTATTTCACAAACCACTGAAAATAGGAAATATCTGTATGAATTGTCATAAGTACATAACGTTAATCTAGAGCGAGGTCATCTGCTTGTCACTCTAGGTTTGGATGGGCATCTTTTTTTTTTCTTTTAGTTTCATGAGGAATATGTATTACCTTTACATTTTATATCATGAAACATTTACATTTACAAAGAGCCACAATGAATCATGTAACAAATACCTGTGTACCCATCACACAGCTCTAGAATAAAACATGACCAACACAGGTAAAGCCTCTCGTGTAACCTTCTCCAATCACATTCCCTTTTTTCCCAGAGGTACCACAACCCTGAATCTGGTGCTTTTTATTTGCATGACGTCATACTTTTACCAAATATATCTATGTTCCTAAACAGTATATAGTGCTTTTCCTAGTTTAGCATTGTATATAATTGGTATTACATTGTGTATGATCTTCTATAACTTAAGTTTTTACTAAACAGTATGTATTTTTAATATAATCATGTTAATACCAATGCTTCAGATCAGCGGTCCCCAATCTTTTTGCCGTTAGGGACCGGTTTTCATGGAAGACAATTTTTTCATGAACCAGGGGTGGGGAGTGGTTTCAGGATGATTCAAATGCATTACATTTATTGTGCACTTTATTTCTATTATTATTACATAGTAATATATAATGAAATAATTATACAACTCACCACAATATAGATTTAGTGGGAGCGCTGAGCTTGTTTTCCTGCAGCTAGTCAGTTTCATCTGGGGGTGATGGGAGACAGTGACAGATCATCAGGCATTAGATTCTCACAAGGAGAACAAAACCTAGATCCCTTGCATGTGCAGTTCACAAAAGGGTTTGCACTCCTATTAGAATCTAATGCTGCTACTGATCTGACAGGAAGTGGAGCTCAGGTGGTAATGTGAGCAATGAGGTGCTGTTGTCCATACAGATGAGGCTTCCCTTGGCTCACCTGCCACTCACCTCCTGCTGTGTGGCCTGGTTCTTAAAAGGTCATAGAAAGGACAGGAACCCCGTGCTTCAGATCATTCATTTTCATTGCTGTAGTGTTCCATGTTAATTTATTTATCTTATTTTAATTTTTTGGACCTTTATTTTAGGTTCAAGGGTATGTGTGCAGGTTTATTATGCAGGTAAATTGCATGCTGTGGGATTTGTGTACAAATTATCTCGTCACCCAGGTAATAAGCATAGTACCCAATAGGTACTTTTCTGATCCTCACCCTCCTCCCACCTTCTACATTCATGTAGACCCAAGTATCTGTTGTTCCCTTTGTGTCCATGTCTACCCAATGTTAGGGCCCACTTACAAGTGAGAATATGCAGTTTTTGGTTTTCTGTTCCTGCATTAGTTTGCTTAGGATAATGACCTCCAGCTCTACGCATGTTCCTGTAAAGGACATGATCCCATTCTTTTTTTGGCTGCATGGTATTCCATGGTGTATACGTGCCACATTTTCTTTATCCAGCCTACCACTGATGGGCATTTAGGTTGATTCCATGTCTTTGTTTTTGTGAATAGTGCTGTGATGAGGATATGCAAGAATGTGTCTTTATGGTAGAATGATTTATGTTCCCTCAGGTATATACTCAATAATGGGATTGCTGGATTAAATGGTAATTCTGTTTTAAGTTCTTTGAGAAGTCGTCAATCTGCTATCCACAATAGCTGAACTAGTTTATATTCTCATCAGCAGTGCAGAAGCATCTTCTTTTCTCCACAACCTCACCAGCATCTGTTATTTTTGCCTTTTTAATAATAGCTATTCTGACTGTTGTGAGATGGTATCTCATTTTTATTTGCATCTCTCTAATGATTAGTGGTGCTGAGCATTTATTCAAACACTTGTTGGCCAGATGAATGTCTTCTTTTGAAAAGTGTCTGTTCATGACCTTTGCGGATGGGCACCTTTGAGGTTCTACCAGGCACTACCACCTACATCAAACCTTGCTGTTTTTTTCTTAAGGGTGTCTGGCTACTATTTCTTACATTCTTGCTAACTCACTCCCAGCTGAGACTCCGGGAGGCCATGTGCAGGTGCTCAGATGCCCTGGACTTGTTCTATTCTACTGCTTTCCCTCAACCTTTTAGTATTTTCTGTTTCTCTGGAAAAACTCTAAGGCAGAGTAGAATCATTTTCTATCCAATATAATGAGGTAACTCATCTGAGCTACAAAGTGTTCTCTACCAAAGGACAATGCCTCACTCTTTTTTGTGTTGCACTCTGTTAGAGAGGTATATACTAGTGTGTCTTCATGATCCTAAATTTCCCAGAGTTATTTATGAAATGGATATTTTTCAGTTTTCTTTCTTGCAGCCCTACTCTCAATAAAAAGTGGCAGAAGCCTAAACCCAAGAGGTTTTGTTGCATGAGTCCTGACATACTTTTAAATTTAATTTTTCTTCTGAATATATTCTGTTTTAGAAGCATCTTAGTCCTCCATTTTAGTGTCAAATGAATGCAGTTTAGAGTATCCATGGGCTGTAATCACTGTTTCTGGTGGTGTTTCTGGTGACTGATGGGGCAACCATGTTTTGCAGTTCACAGCAATGATTATCCATTGTTTTATCACTTCAGATGATACCACTTTAAGTGTGCAACTTTACTGTGTTGTAATTGTGAATGCCAGCAGATGTTCTTTGACTTTGACTGTGAATTAACTGCTGTAGTTTGTATGGAGATAGCGCTAGTTTACTTTCTAACATTGGGATTATGGAGGCCATGTTTTCTAAGAGTTCAGAAAAAGAAAGTCCAAATGATTACAACACCAACGCCAGCATGACCCAGGCGCCACTGAAAAAGAAAGTGAAATGACTGTATTATTTTAATGACAGATGGAAAGACATATATAACAAAAACAGAACATTTATGATTGGGCATGGTGCAGAAAAGGAGATGGAAGTGCATATGGAGGCTGAATCTTGCAAGTCTTAGGTGAGACAGCCAAATATATCTAAATAAATCAAAAGTGTTTTGTTGCCCAAAAAGACATCAATACTCAGTTGAAAATAATGGCTGCTGAATTAGCTTGGGAATACCTAACTAATGACCCTGCATTATCATATGTTTCCCTTGATTAATCTATGAAGCTCAGTAGTTACATTTTCTGACTATGAAGTTACAAGTAAAATACCCCGTGGGACAAAAGGGAAATTTTTTAAAATCACAAAGGTCACAAATGTGTTAGCTGCTTACAATATAAAGCTTATTCTGTCAGATCTTACTGGATAGTTTACTTTTTAACATTGAGAATATTGTGACAGTGTGAGTGTGCGTGTGTTTCTGTATGCAAAATTGAAAATACTTTTTTTCTCTTAATGGAGAAATTAAGCCTGTTTACATTTGTTTCTAGGACTGATAGGTTTAGTTTCAACTGCAATTTATAATTATGCGCAGTTTATGTGGTATGTTTCTTTATCTATAGGATATGCATTCTCTGCCTTTTTATTTAATAAAATTGGGTGTTCAAGAAGGTTGAAAGGTTTATTGTCAGGACTACCTTTGCGCTTTTATCTATTCTGATGACTTTAGTCCCCTGTTTGCTTAATATTGTACTATCTGCATTATCAGGTATTTTTTTGGTGGGGAGCATTATTTAATATATACCTATTGCTTATACAATAGTTAGCTTTTCATGTTTTCTTTTTTTTTCCTCTTTCATCTCCCCTCAATTTTAGTCGTATTATTTCTATGTTATTAGAGTATATAATATGTATATATTTGTTTTTCCCTCATGGGATTTATATATATATACACATATATATTCATATTTTTTAAAATGCTCACTATCTTTTTCTGAAATTTTCCCAGTTATCATCTGGTTGGCTGTAACTTATGCTTTTTTAAAAAAATAATTTCTCCTTGTTTTTATTTGTTTTGACTTTTAGTTTTAATTTCTGATTCAAGGTGGCTTTCCATATTTTCAAATACTTGTTTCAATACTTTTACTGCTGTTTGGAGTGCAGACTTACAGTTTTCTTTTGCTTGATATTTTGCCAGGTATTAATGTAAGGTGCAACTCATTTAAGTTGCATGCACATTTTTGACTGATTTTCTGCATTAGTTCTCTATAGATTTGTTTTCTTGTGTTCATTTTTAGTGATATCCAGGTGGCTTACATGATTCTCATCTTAATTGCACCATTTTCTGTTAGTGTGGCAAAGAACTGGTAGCTCAGCAGTGGTTGGTTGTTTGGTTTTGGAAGTGAATGAGGGGTTGTTGGTACTCAGATTTTACATCCTTTGGTCTTGCAGAGCCCTGAATTTTTCACTTTTTCTTGTTTTCTCTTTCACCACCTAATTGACAGAGGATTCTCTTCCCTTTCTTTTGAATGTTATTCTCCTTAGAAGTTAATTGTGTGTGTTTTCTCTTAATTATATATTTTTGGAGGGGTTCTCTTTTGGTTTTAAAACATTAAATAGTTTGCCTTTTTAAAATGGATGCCTGATATTCTGTCTCTTTAAATCCTGCATCTATCTCTTTCTATGGTGTTTGGTTCTTTGAGAGCATGCACTTTGAAATCCCTTCCTTGCAGTTTGTTGTATGATCTGCTTTTTTTTTTTTATTTTTTCTTCTCCGGTATCTTCAAATTCAGTGTAGATTTAATCTTTCCTGTCAATGGTTGCTTCAAATCACCCTCAGGCTCCTTAGCTGGTATCCCTCCTCTATATTTCTTGCAATTTTTTTCTGCTTTTGCTTGCCACAGAGCTCTGACATGCATGGGGATGGGCAGGGACATGTACTGCAGCACTAATATTCCTTGTATTTTCTCTTTTCTTCACAGTCATTTTTATTCTCTTGTCTTTTACTCTTGTTAATATTGAGGGTGTGGTTTTGCATAGACGTTTCATAAATGCTCAGCGTAGTTAATTCCTGTCATCTGGGAAGAGATTCAGAGAGGTAGTATGTTGTTGTTGTGGGTTTTGTTAGTTTGTTTTTACTACACAGTATTTATTGCCTACAGGTACCTTGAAGTTTCTTCCTAAAGTTTTTTTTTTTTTAATTAATCTGTGTTTATACTTTATTTGACAATATGGATCCCCCCAAATTTAGTAAGCACCTATACATGTGCTTTTGGCCATTTCAGTTTTGCTTTTCAGTTTCCTTGTTTCTCCCTCAACTCAGCTGCTGCTAATGGTGTGATTGTGAAGGTCATTTTCTAAATCTGGTTTTGTGATTCCCAGTTTATTTTATGCAAATGAGTAATTTTTCTAGATCTTTGTTGCCCAAAGGCATATAAAATTTCATCTATTTTACTGAGATCTGAAATTATTCAGCTTCTCCACTTCAAGTCCCTGATATTCTTTTCATATTTACTTGTGAATAATGCATCCTTTTTTTTTTAAACTCCTTTCTTTCTATACATTGTTACACTTAGCCTGTATTAACACACACACACTAACGTTCTGCTTTTGAAACAACTTTTGGTAGATTTCCTAACTCAGTAGGCACCTAACTGGCCTCCCATGTCATGGCAGTAACGGTTTTGCTAAATGTTTTGTCACTGCATAACATGGATCACAACATTCCCATCCTTCATTATTAATTTTTTTTGTCACCAGAAAATTACTGCCTATGGGGCAAATCTGCCCTCTGGCCTGTTTTTGGAGCATAGCCTTGTTTAGTCATTTATGTATTGTCTATGGCTGACTACAGGAGAGCTGAGTAGTTACAATAGAGACCATATATATATATATAGTCTTCAAAGTCTATAAGATGACCCCTCAAAGAAAAGGTTTTACCGACCACTGCACTAAGCCATTGCCACATACATTATGTTTTTGTTATAGAAGAACATTACCCCAAAGCAGTGGATTAATTTCTGGATTAAATGAATCAAATTTCTGGATTAATTGGGCTGAACAAAGTATTCTGTCATGGATGAATCTTGAAATCTCAGAGGCTTGATATTATAAAAGCATATATTTTACTACTGCAAAGTCCAATGCTAGTTGGACTCCCAGGCAGTTCTTCAAATGGTTACTCTGGAATCCAAACTTTGATTGTGCAACTCTGACGTTTTAGAGTTCTTCATTACCAACCACATAGTGAAAAGAGAAAAAGGAAGAAGACAGAATAAATCCCAGCTTGGCATTGAAAATGTGCCCATTATATTAGTTCCCCATTTTCCATGGGTGATATGTTCCAAGACACCCAGGGTATGCCTGAAACTATGGATGGTACAGAACCTGATTGCTGTCAATGAGAATATGTTTCTGTTCGTGTCTTCCACCCACAAATTTAATGCCCTTTCTATCTTAACTAAGCAATGATCATGCACTGTAGCTGTAACTTTTGCAGTTTGAGGTACAACAGCAATACTGGTAAAAATTTCTTTTTCTTCTTCACAATTTCATGACTAGAAGATTAGTTCTTACCATAGCTCTTAGTAACCTCAACATGCAATTGTTTTACTTTCCTAAGTCAAGAACTTTCACCTTTTCACTTAAAGGAAGAATGTTATGGCTTCTCTGTGGCATATCCAAATTGTTAACATCACAATTCTTATGCTTTGGGGTAATTACTAGATAAAATAAGGGTTCCCTGAACACAAGCACTGCAATACCACGACAGTCAATCTGATAACAGAAATGGCAACTAATTGATTTTTGGCAGGTAGCATCTAGAGCACAATTATGCTGGACAAAGGGACATTTTATCTCCCAGATAGGATGAAACAGGATTATGTGAGATTTCACCGCACTACTCAGAATGTAATTTTTGATCATAATACTGAAAGACACAATCCCAAATGTCATAATCTTATATGTGGAAATCTCAAAAGACCAAAATCCCTAAAGTCTAAATCCCTGATGTCTAAAATCCCCAAAATTACAATCACAGGAGAGTTGCCACATGTTAAACAGAACTTATCTTATTATCTTAATTTATAAATTTTGTGTGGTTTAAGGAGATGCGTATGGGTGTCAAATCGACAAGGTGTGGATTTGTGGACTTAATTTTAGGTATCAACTTGACTGGATTAAGAAATACCTAGAAATTTGGTAAAGCAATTTGCTATGCTATGTATTTAATCTTTGCATCATTCCCAGTACTGGAGTTATAAATTGTGTGGAGACTTGTAGAGAGTTCTAAGTTGTTTTATGCATTTTTGCAAATTTGATTCCATAAAAATGCATTATCACAACATTGACTTTTAGCGTAAGCATTGTGCATGTATGTAAAAATGTTAAAACTTCTTCAATAAACAAAGAATTGTCCTTTTTTGGACATCTGCATTTGAGAAGGATAAAATTTGTGAAGATCTCGGCTGTTTGGGTGACACATTGCAGTTTTTGATAGGTCTCATCAAGACTTTAGGTTATTTGCCATGTTATTTCAGACAACTGCAGTTATAAAGCTAGGTGCACACAATTACCAACGCTAGTGATATGCATTGATACATTTTTCTTTTTGACCTATTTCTTCATGAATATGGTTCATCTGCTTATGCTTGCAGAAATGTTTGTTCTTATTGCCTACTTTATCAGGTAAAGTGAACTATGAAGTATTCTGTCATGTCTTCATGTTTCTCAGATGAATCACCCTTTAAAATGTAAATATTAATACATGTCTTAGAAGTATTTTTTAAATCATTTTTATTTCTGGAGTGATATTTTTGGGATCTTGATCTTTCAGGATATTGACATTTGGGATTGTGTCTTTCAGTATTATGATCAGCTACCCTCAGAATGGCACACAATGTAAAATTTATGAATTGTTTATTTCTGAAATTTTTCACTTAATATTTTTGGACTGTATTTCACCATAGTTAAATGTAACTATGGAAAGCAAAAATGCAGATAAGGGGGAACAACTGTACTTTCATTCATATTCTATTGGTAAGCATAGCTACAAGACTAGTGTTCTTGCAAGAGACGCTGGGACATGAGTTCACAGGTATATTCCATAATCCTTCTCTAGGTTTCTTTCATAGGCAAATGTCCCAGAACAGCTCCTTATCTCCCTGCTTTCAGTTTTATTTTTGTTTATGGCCTCAGAGGAATTCTCATACTTTATGTTGGGATCAGCCATGCCTTTAAATGTTTATTAACTAATTTGTGTGGTGGTTTAAAAATATGTCCACAAACTCTTTGATACTCTTTATTTTCAGAGGTAGTGCTTAACTCCCATCTATTTGATTGTTGGCTGTGTGCATTATTCTAGGACTCTCCAATATTTGGACAGTGTCTGCCATGTAACAGATGTTTCTTGTTATTGAATAGAAAACAGCAGAATTTTGCATAATTTATTGGAAAAGCATCACCACAG
Source organism: Homo sapiens (assembly GCF_000001405.40). Classification (NCBI taxonomy): domain Eukaryota; kingdom Metazoa; phylum Chordata; class Mammalia; order Primates; family Hominidae; genus Homo; species Homo sapiens. Next base: position 86,399,041 of record NC_000007.14, on the reverse strand, counting down.
AAATAAATTGATAAACGCTGTACTAAAACTGAGCTTTGAATAGTTACAGATGTAAAATTAAGAAAACTCAGCAAATAGAAATGACCAGAAACAAAAAAATATAAAAATATACAATGTATCGAAGAGGAAATTCATGAGAAAGAGAAGAGGATTAAATTAAGCCAGATAAGCAAAAGGAAAAGTGATGGTTCATTATTAATTCTAAGTTTAAAGAAGTCTCACCAGATCCCTAGAGAGAAAGTAAATATTGACATCAGAGTGCATTCATAATTTGTTGCATATATTAATACTTAATTTATTGTCTTCTTTATAAAACCCTAAATTGAAGAACACAGCATTTTTCATGTTAGCTTGTGTTAAGCATAAAATAAAATTTAATATTTTAAGCGAGATGGTAAGAAATTGAGATCAGAGTTATTTTATATAAAGTGACCAAGGAAGGCTTCTTAGATAACACTTTCAAGTTGAGTTCAGCAGGAAGTAAGGGACTGAGTCCGGTGAATACCTGGAAAAAGAGTGTTGTCAGCACAGGGAAGAGTAAGTGCAAATGTCTTAAGGTAGGAGCATATTTAGAATGTTTGAGGAGCAGCAAGACATCCAGAGTAATGGATGGAGTGAGGAAGGAGAGACTGATGAAAATGAAGTCAGAGGGATAATATGAATTATCCGTTGTAAGCAAAGGTAAGAAATTTTGTGTAATTTTCAGTGAGATGGAGATTTTTTTTTAAATTACAAGATTTGGAGCGCAGAAGAAAAAAATATTAAGCTTATTTTAAAAACACATCTTAACTATTCTGTGAGGACTATAGAAGGGTGTGAGACTGTTATTGCAATAGTTCACATTGGTGATGACAGCATTTTCTTCTAAGGAGATAGTCAGGGAGCAGGGAAAGAAGTGGTCAGATATGTATGTGTTGTCTTATAATTAAATTGTGTAAGATTATATTGCATCCTACTCTAGAGCACAGTATTCATAAGTACTCTTGTAGTACCAATAGGTTGTCAGTTTTTCAAAGGAAGGCATTTCCTGTAATGTATGAATTCTAAAGTAAATATTTGTGGAATAAATAAGTAAGTAAATAAATGACTAAAACATGAATAGGTGAACATTACACAATTTATCCTTGTTACAACTCGTTATAATATGATCACGTCCTAGGATAGCTCCATTTGTAATTACTAGGATATATTTATCTGCATTTCCAATTATGCATTTCATCTTTTCACTATTCTCTTCAGAGTTAAAGGTTACAATGCACCTTGATGAAAAAGATTCATAAGCCTTAGACTTATTCAATTTTATATAAATAATGGTTCACTACCTCACTAGATCTTTAATGAAAATAATGTCATATCTCCTGAGAAACTCTACTGCAATGATGCTGCAATGTGAGTTGTACACAGATTTGCTTTTTTGCATTTGTTTGTAGAAAGTCATGGCCAATACATTGAAATCATTCAATAAACAAGTCAGAGTATAAATTAATAAAAATTGTTTATAATGACTACTCATTTAAAAGACACACTTTTGCGCATTGGGGGTAAACCCTAGTTAAACACAGTTATGTACCCACAAAAAGGTGTATTCCTTTCACTATTATAGAAGCTCCAATCCTGAGAAAAGTCTTAATTTTCTGTTAAATTTATTAATTTACATAACTGTCATCACTGCTGATTGTCTTGATTATTTATAGGGAGAAGATTATACTTTGCATTGATTCCATGTTCCTTTTAAATGCTTCAAAAACAATTATTTAAAACAAATATGAGGTCAGAACATGATATTTTATAGGTGCAAGATGGTACAGTACTAGCCAGGTTATAGAGCTCAATGTAATATTTGTTTTAGTAACAGAATTATGTATTGTGGTTCTATATATACTGAAATTTGAAGTTTATTTCAAGGAGAGAGCAACTCCAACTGTTTTATGGTCATCCTCATGTTTTATTCTACTCTTTGGAGACCATAACTTTATGGGAGCTCTACTAGAGGTGAAGTGATCCCAGGACTTTTAATTAATATAGAGAGGCAGAGAAAACTGAAGAATTAGCATTATATTAATTTTATCCCCCAAATTTCTGTTGACTTCTTTGTAAACTAGAATTAATTTTATGCTCGGCAGAGCTGATATCCTGATTTATGATATAGCAATCCTTTTTTTAAAAGAACTGTGAAAATATTTATTGTAAACTACTATACAAGTAAAAATATTCTCTAAAATCAAGACTTATTGAATAAAATGTATACTCTTTCTTTTATTTTTGCAATGCTTTGTTGTGGTGCTTAGATTGTTTTTGCCAATATAGGGCTTTGTATCACATTTTTCAAATTTCGTAAGCTGAAAGTTCCTTAGGGTGTGAAGATTTTTATTTGGTAAATAGAATTCATAAACCACAAAATAAACATAAAACGAAACCCAATTATGCAACAATTGCTGAAAGGTAATGAAAAAACTCTGAAGATATTTAAAAATATTGATTTATGATTTATGATTTACCTTTTTACAAATATTGGTCTCTGTTTTATTTTCCATATGATAGAGATATCTACTGTTTATTTATTTCACAGAGCTATTAAGGAGGATTATGAAATTCTGTGATATATTATTATGGATTTTCTCAGTTAAAGATTGAGTTTTAAATTAAACTAATGTTCAACTGTATTTAAGATATTTTGCTTGATGCTTTGGGGGATGGAAATAATGTCTGCCCTCAAAGAAATTGCAGTAAAATTTGGAAGACAGAATTGAAGCACAGAAGTGAAGAATCTACAAAAATACAAAGACAATTACATAGTTTTTCAAGATGAAAAGAAGATATACCACGTAGTAGTAATCATTAAACAAAATTAATTTTACAAGTAGCAACTCCACTACAAGCTCCTCATTGGGAAAATTTACTTTAGATGTTGGTTAGAGGTGACAGAGAAGATATTCGCCATAGCAAACTATTATATTTGCAACACATTTGCCGCTCTGAGTTTAAAGATATGAAATCAAGTGACTCACAAAGCATGGGACAGTTTAGTTTTCTAAAAAGCTCTGAGTGTTCTTTTTTTTTTTTAAATCATCCTCTATATTCATGTTAATATTTTTACAGTGCCTGCAGAAACTAATAAAATTTGGCTCATCTTCTTATCTATACTTTTATCACTGGCAAGGAGGAACATGTCAGGAGAATTGATCCTATTGATTTGAAGATATTCAGCATTCTTCCCAATCCCCTTGAAAATTAGGTGTAAAACTATCTAAATTAGTGTCTGCCTTTTGTTCTTTAGTGCTGAAATCCTGATTTAATTTGAAGAATAATTGCTATAGTCTTTATCAGTTAATTTTAAATTCTACTTCCATAGATAATTCTCATGGTTAAGGTTTTCTGTTTGTTTTCTTATTTTAAGCAGGCTGATGCATTAAATCTTTTCTTGCCTTCTCTGATGAATAGGATGTAAACCTGAAACACTTAATTGTAATGTTTCTTTATTTTTGCTATGATTTCATGCCGACTATGATATGAATATCAAAACTTTTCTTGAAGCCAATGCCTAATATAAACTGGGTAGGTCTGTGGCACATTTTCAATCTAATTTTAATAGTTTCCACAAATACAGACCTTTACACAAGCTGAAAACCTTACAAGAATTTGATGGCAATGGAATTTAAGCAGTAAAGGCTCAGCAATTGATTTTCACTTTCCCCAGAACAAGACAAATCATGATATGAATGCTATTTAGACTCAATGAGATACAGGAGGCCACTTTGTATCCAACCTGAATGCTCTCCTATTGGTAGCTAAGAAAGATAACTTCATTTATTTACTTCTTAGGTACTGTCTGATTAAATGACAATGTTTTTAAGCATTTGTTCATAGGAATCATACTAATAGAAATTAGTAAGTAAAATCTGCATGAGTACAAACTTCTTTGGAAAATTTAAGCTGTGCAGACAGTTGAAGATACCATAATACAACAATGGCACTTTGACAAAAGTCTTTTCCATATTTCTCTCTCCATTACTCGATTTCTCTAACTACTTTTCTCAGTGTTCTTTTTGACTAAGCTATACATGTGTGATGAGCTTCTATAAGCACATGATCTTTTTGAGACTTGAAAGTCCAAAATGAAAATAGTGCTACTTATAAACACATCTGACGTTACTGCAGCAGGCATTCTGGAGTCTGTTTCCTGACTTTAAAATGTCCATCAGTAGGCAGTGGGAGTAGAATTCTGTTCTATTATGAGTAGGCAGTAGAATATGCATTTAAGACAAGTTGCTAGCTAATTGGTATGTTAAGGGTTTCAGCCAAATTTTCTATTATTTGTTTACATTCATTCACACATTCTCTTAAAGTATGTGAAATGGCAAACTTCATAAGTACAGAATTATTTTCAGTACAGCATCCCTTCTCCAATAATATGCGCTGAAAAGGAAATCACTAAATCCAGTTATAAACACTCAATATTGTCCCTTATGAGGGCTAGTTATGTAATATATGGCCATACATCTGAAAATTTATTTGCATTTCATATATCTAACAAATAGGGTACTAATAGATTTCTTACAAAAAACAATTGGTATAAAAGCAATTTGCAAAACACTAATCTCAAAAAAAATCCACAAAGAGGGCAATAGCTTTATGACTTTTTAGTGAAGTAGTTTCAGCAAGTGTAAACTAGCTAAGAGAGCCTTATCATATTGGTCATAGAACTCTGCAACTCAGATTGAAGATAGGAGCAGGGTGATGAAAGTAACATAAAGACAATTAAGAGGAAACAACAAAAAAGAAAATAAATAAAACTTTCAGAAAACTATACTAGCATGCTCATATTTGAAAGCATGAAGGCTGGATGTAAAGATGAACAGTGAGAAAGATGGTCTTCACAGGTAAAGCTCATTTCATTGCTGTGGAATGGAAAGTTCAAAGACTGTAGTAGCAGGAACATGAAAACAAATATGAGGCCACAACAAGTAGTGTCTGACCTGGCTCCCCAAAGTGCAGTGGAAGGGAGATGAAGCCCGGTCACAGAGAAACAAAGAGCCTCTACTGCAAAACACTTTTAGTCTATAGTTTCACAGTCAGATTTCTCTATTTGCACTATGAGAAATAAGTAAATAATAAGTGCAGATAAACCAACGTGATGTTGCCATTTTTAAATTTCTGTTAAAAAATTAACAGAGTTCTGTTAAAAATGGAATTTTTATGCCAACATATGAGATAACTTTCTAGAACAATATTCAATAGGCAGAAAGTATAGGAGATTCTAGAAATATCTATACCATATATGTGCAGACTATAAAATGATACAAAATCAGATATGGAAATTTGGCATTTTGCACAATTGATTCAAAAAATAAAAGTAAAAATGTACGAAGACAATATTACTTTTCCATGAGATTGCTAAGATCTCAGTTGCTTCTCCAGATATAGCAAGAGGTCAAGTAGCTGACCTGAGGATATAAAGCTGCATCACTAAGACTCCCGTTAATTTCTCCATAGGCTACAGCTGATGTTGAACTTAGACTTGAAGGGATTACTAAGTTTTGTTACTATTCTTCCAAGGCATCGCCTACTTTCCTGTAATGGTGGATAAGATCAATAAAATTAGGAGAATAATCACAGAAGAATAATTTTTTACTGAGAGAAATGGAGGTTTGGGAGAGCTGATCATGGGGGCTCACCTTGCATTGAGAAACTGATATGAATTATGAGGGCATGTAGTTGCCCAAAAGACTAAATATGCCTCCAGCTAAAAGCAGTGAGCTTTTGTATAGTGTTATAACAAAAATTAAAAACAAATAAAATGTTTCACTTCTGGGAAAGTGAAGTAGATATACTTTTTCTTATTTTCTTTCAGCTAATCACAACTAAAAACACTGGATACAATAAGCTGACATAGAAAGACTGAAAAGCAGAAAGAAGTCAGAGAAGTTAAGAACATAAAGTGTAAAGGAACAAGATGGGGAAGTTGTATGGTTTGGCTGTGTCCCCACCCAAATCTCATCTTGAATTGTAGATCCTGTAATTCCCATGTGTTGTGAGAGGAAACCAGTGGGAGATAATTAAATCAAGAAGGGGTTTTCAACCATACTGTTCTCTTGGTAGTGAATAAGTCTCATGAGATCTGATGGCTTGACAAGGGGGTTTCTCCTTTCACTTGGCTCTCCTCTCTTGCCTGCCACCATGTAAGATGTGCCTTTTGCCTACCATGATGATTGTGAAGGCTTCCCAGCCACATGGAACTGTGAGTCCATTAAACCTTTCTCTTTATAAATTTCCCAGTCTTGGGTATGTCTTTATTAGCAGCATATAAACAGACTAATATAGTATGTAAGAACCAGTAGAGTGGGGTGCTGCTGTAAAGATACCTGAAAATGTGGAAGCGACTTTGGAACTGGGTAACAGGCAGAGATTGGAAGAGTTTGGAGGGCTCAGAAGAAGATAGGAAAATTGGAAAAGTTTGGAACTTACTAGAGACTTGCATGGCTTTGACCAAAATGCTGATAATGATAAGGAGATTTAAATCCAGGCTGAGGTGGTCTCAGATAGAGATGAGGAACTTGCTGGGAGCAGGAGTAAAGGTGACTCCTGCTGAATTTTAGCAAGAAGACTGGCGGCATTTTGCCCCTGCCCTAGAGATTTGTGGAACTTTGAACTTGAGGGAGATGATTTAGGGTATCTGGTGGAAGAAAATTCTAAGCAGCAAAACATTCAAGATGTGACTTGGGTGCTGTTAAAAGCATTCAGTTTTAAAAGAAAACAGAGCATAAAAATTTGGAAAATTTGCAGCCTGACCATGCAATAGAAAAGAAAAACCATTTTCTGGGTAGAAATTTAAGCCAGCTGCAGAAATTTGCGTATGTAGTAAGGAGTCAAATGTTACTCACCAAGACAATGTCAAAAATTTCTCCAGGGCATGCCAGAGACCTTTGTGGCAGCTCCTTCCATCACAGGCCAGGAGGCCTAGAAGGAAAAAACGGTTTCATGGGCTGGGCCAAGGGCCACCCCCGTGCACCCCCTACCGTTCGCTGTGCAGCCTAGGGACTTGGTGCCCTGCATCACAGCTGCTCCAGCTGTGGCTAAAAGGGTCCAAAGTTCAGCTTGGGCTGTGATGTCAGAGGGTGCAAGCCCCAAACCTTGGCAGCTTCCATGGTGGTGAGCCTGTGGGTGCACGAAGTTAGGAATTAAGACTGGGGAACCTCTCACCTAAATTTCAGAGAATATATGGAATTGCCTGATGTCCAGGCAGCAGTTTGCTGCAAGGACAGGGCCCTCATGGAGAACCTTTGCTAAGGCAGTATATAAGGAAAATGTGGTGTTGAAGCCCCTACACAGAGTCCCCACTGGGGCACTGCCTAGTGGAGCTGTGAGAAGAGGGCAACAATCCCCCAGACCCCAGAATGGTAGATTCATTGACAGCTTGCACCATGCACCTGGAAAGGCTGCAGGCACTGAATACCAGCCTGTGAAAGCAGCCAGGAGGGAGGCTGTACCCTGCAAAGCCACAGGGCCGGAACTGCTCAAAGTTGTGGGAGCCCACCTCTTGCATTAGCATGACCTGGATGTGAGACATGGATCTCTTCAAAGGAGATGGTTTTGGAGCTTTAAGATTTGACTACCCCACTGTATTTTGGACTTGCATGGGGCCTGTAGCCCCTTCATTTTGGCCTATTGCTCCCATTTGGAATGGGTGTATTCATGCAAGGGCCTGCTACCCCATTGTCTCTAGGATGTAAACAACTTGGCTTTGATTTTAGAGGCTCATAGGCAGTAGGGACATGCCTTGTTTCAGATGAGACTTTGGACTGAGGACTTTTGAGCTAATTCTGAAATGAGTTACAACTTTGGGGGACTGTTGGTAAGGCATGATTATTTTGAAAGTTGAGCACATGAGATTTGGGAGTGTCCAGGAGCAGATTAATATGGTTTGGCTGTGTCCCACACAAATCTCATCTTGAATTATAGCTCCCATCATTCTCACGTGTTGTGGGAGAAACCTGGTGGGAGATAACTGAATCATGGGGCAGTTTCCCCCAAACTGTTCTAGTGGTAGTGAATAAGCCTCACAAGGTCTGATGGTTTGAAAAGGGGTTTCCCCTTTTACTTGGCTCTCATTCTCTTTTGTCTGCTGCCATGTAAGATGTGCCTTTGCCATCTGCCATGATTGTGAGGCCTCCCCAATCATGTGGAACTGTAAGTCCATTAAACCTGTTTTTCTTTATAAATTACCCAGTCTCAGGTATGTCTTCATCAGCAGCATGAAAACAGGCTAATACAGTTAGTTATCCATGGAGAAGACCTAGCAGGGCTCTGAATCTCCCTTCTCCATGCAGCAGTAATCAAAATCCCTACCCCTTAGGTGTCAACAGAGGCTGAGTGGGGAAGTTGTATTTTTATTCATACCTTGTAGAAAGAAGCTGGTGTCTCCCTTTCCCTGCTAAAGTGCTACCAGAGAAAGCCAGCTAAAACAAAAGGTTTAAAAATGTTCCAGGGTCTCCTTATATAATATCCATAATACCAATATCAAATGAAAAATCACTTGTTATTCCAAGAACCAAGAGAATGTAATGTAAAACTGAACATAAAAAGACAATCAACAGATGTCAATACCAAGAAAACAGAGATTTTAGAATTATCTGAGGCAGATTTTAAAGCAACCATTATAAAAATGCTTCAATAAGCAGTTATAGACACAGTTTTCTTTGACAGAAACAAAAACAATTAGAATTCTAAGCAAAGAAATAGAAAACCTAAAGAAAAAACAAATGAAAGTTTTAGAATTAAAAGATATAATAACCTAAGTTAAAATCTCCATGGATGAACTCAAGAGTAGAATGGAAGGACAGAAGAAACAGAGAACTAGAAGACATAACAATAGAAATTACCAAAGCTGAATGATGGAGAGAAAATATACTAGGAAAAAAACCACAAAAGCAGTTTCAGAGGCCTCTGGGAATGCAGCAAATTATAACAGTCATATCAGGGAAATCTCAGAAGGACAGTGGAAAAGAGAGAGAGGGAGGGAGAGGGAGAAGGAGAGGGAGAAAGATATATCACAGTAGTGATAGTTGAAAACTTTTCCAAGTTTGACCAAAGATATGTGCTCACAGATTGAAGAAGCTAAGAAAACCTCAGGCAACTTCAACACAAATAAATTCTCAACAAAACACATATAGACAAACCTCTGAAAAGCAAAAACGAAGAAAAGGTCTTGATTATGAAAGAAATCTTGTCTGAGAGTGAGAGAGAAGCAAAAGTTTACCTGTAGGAGAAAATAGTAAATGACAGTGTATTTCCCATTGTGAACCATGGAAGCAAGAAGTAGTGACACAATATTTTTCAAGTGCTGGAAGAAAAGAATTTTCAACTTACAGTCCTACAGTCAGTAAAAATGTCCTTCATAAGTGAGAAAAAGACAGTTAGATGAAGGAAAATTAAAATAATTGTAGATGGCAGACCTACCCTGAAAGAATTGCTAAAGAAAGTTTGCTAAACAGAAAAGAAAATGAAAGAAGAAATATTGGAACATCAGGAAAGAACAGAGAAAAGAAAAAATGGATAAATATACTATCCTTTTGCTCTTATGTCTTCTAAATTGATTAGTAGTTAAAGCAAAATTATTGCCCTGTTAGATGTGATTCTAAGAGTATGCAGAGGGACTGTTTAAAACACCTATTTTATGAAGGGGAGGGGTAGAGAGAAAAAGGGAGGTAAGAGACAGAGAGGGGCATTACATAATGATAGAAGGGTCAATCTCACTAAGTTTTATGCTTTTAGTTGGAGGCATATTTAGTCTTTTGGGCAGCTGTGTGCCCCCACAATTAATATCAGTTTCTCAATGCAAGGTGAGCCTACTTCTTCAGCTTTCCCAAACCTCCATTTCTCTCAGTAAAATATTACTCTTCTGTGATTACTCTCCTAATTTTATTGATTTTATCCACATTTACAGAGAAGTAGGTCATGCATTGAAAGAATAGTAACAAAAAATCGTGAGGATATAGAGGATATAATCCTCGAGTGAGCAAGGATATAGAAATCAACAGCACTATCAACCAACAGGATCTAAATCACATTTATAGGACACTTCATCTAACAACAGCAGCAACACGTTCTTTTCGAGTACCCACACAATATTTAATAATGTAGATCATATCTTCAATAATTTATTTTTTTTGAGACAGGGTCCCAACCTGTCACCCAGGAGGGTGTGCAGTGGCATGATCATGGCTCACTGCAGCCTCAACCTGCCAGGCTCAAGTGATCCTCCCACTTCAGCCTCCTGAGGAGCTAGGACTACAGGTGCAGGCCACTATGCTCGAGTAATTTTTTTTTGTACTTTTGTAGAGACAGAGTTTTGCCACATTGCCCAGTCTGGTCTTGAACACCTGTGCTCAAGAGATCTGCTCACCTCAGCTTCCCAAAGTGCTGGGATTACAGGCGTGAGCCACCACACCCAGTCAAAAAATGTAAAAATAATTGAAATCATCCATAGCATGCTCTCAGATAAATATCCATAGTATGCTCTTAAGTCACATTAGAAATCAGTTCAAAAAGATAGGCAAATTTTTCAACATTTGAAAACTAATACACATCTAAATAATGTGTGAGTAAATGAGATATTACATAGAAATGGCTAAAATTAAAAAGTAAATCACACCAAATTCTGGCGAGGATGTGGAAAAATTGGATCTCATATATTGTTGGTGGGAATGTATAATGGTATAGCCACTCTAGGAAACAGTCAGCTGGTTCTTAAAAAACTAAACATACAACTACCAGATGAAATAATGATTGCACTCCTTGGCATTTATCCCAGAGAAATAAAAAACTTATTGTCATACAAAAACATGTGCACAAATACTTCCAGCTACTTTATTTGTGATAATCCCAAAAGAGAAACAGTCTAGTTTCCAAATGTCTACATGTTTTTCAACAGTTGAATGGTAAAATACACTGTGGTACATCCATACCATGAGATACTATTAATTAATAAAAAAGGAGCAAACTATTGACACATGAAACAATGGATAAATATCCAGAGAATTATACCAAGGGGGAAAAAAAGTCAGTCCCAAAAGGTTGCATGTAGTATGATTTCACTTACGTAACATTAAAAAATGACAAAATTGTAGAAATAGAAGGCATGTTAGTGGTTGCTAGGGACTATGAAGCACTGAGGATGAGAGGGAAGTGTGTGGGTGTGTGTGCGTGTGTGTGTAAGAGAGAGAAAGAGAGGGAGGGAGAGAGACTATAATAAGACAACACACGAGATCTTTGTGGTGATGGAAAGGTTCTGTGTCTTGAATATCTGTGTGAATATGTGGGTTATGATGGTGTATGACATAAGAAATCAAACAGTGAGGTAGAAGAAAAGAAGAACCATGTTGCTTAGGATGGAACCTGAGACTTAAAAAATAAATCCAGAAATCAGAAAGAGTGGACTTCATATCAAATAATTGGAGATGTCACATAGAGCCTGCAGATGTAATCCACAGAATAGAGGAAAATAAATGAATGGAGGATCAAAGGAAGGGGAAAGTATGTAGGAATAAATATTCAGATATGGAATATGGAGGGAAAAAATGAAACAATATATAGTTAATGTAAGGACTTGCAGAGCATGATAATGGAAAAACAATGGAGAGATACAAAATAAGATGATTATATTATAGTTGAAAGGATAACACAATATGCTCATCCAAAGACACAATGCTAAGAAAGAAGTGTTGATAAAAGTATTGATAAAAGTGACCATTTATTATTTAGGAAGAAAAAAGGTATAAGAAACTTACATGTATAAATTCTTGATAACTTAATCAGGTAAAATTGATACTGAGGAGAGGGTGTTTAAATAAAGAAAAAGAGGCGGCATATTTCTGGATAAAAATTCAATAAAACTATTAGGAGTATCTTTATTGTTTTAATCATAATCTGTGGAGAGCTGAGAATTTAGAATGAATCCAAGATATATTATGGATTTTACTTAAAGTCACTGGTACTTATTCAAGTCCCAACTGTCCAGGTTAAGTAGAGCCTCAAATTAGAAAAGTTAGAAAAAAAATATGCAGCTGAAATAACCAGCAGTGTCATTCCATATGAAGTCTGGTCTTTACTACTGAAAGTGTGATCCACAGACCAGATTTCTAGGTACCTTCTCAGAAATGAGGACTCTCAGGCATTGCCTGGAATCTGATGATTCATGTGCACATAGTGAGAAACTGTGGTCTGATTATTTCTACTTTGGAGGAAGATACATAGGGTATATGTTCTAGAGAAAAAAATGATGTCAAGAAGAGGAAAAATGTGATTACGTGTAAAACATTAAGAGCTGGCATGTTCTACGGTGCTTCATTCTGCTGCTCCTGTTTAAGTTAATATATAAACTAATATGTTATTACTTATCCACAGTTTCCATTATTCTATTAATTATTACTTTAGATGTTGGGTTCTCCTAGGAGGCCAACTCCTAGAGCAGGCTGTCAGCACCCACTTTCATTAAAAAATAATGAATAAATTTTGAATAATAATGAATACAATTTTGAATAAAAAATAAATTTTGAATATTTTAAGCATGAAGAAAAAGGAAAGATGATATAAATATCCTAGTAAAAAAGTACTTTATTTAAAAGAGGTACAATGAGATTGTATTCAGCCTTCTCCATAATAACAATTGTCCAGGAACATTATATGAGATAGCGTAGGTCCTGGCTGATCAGGTGGATATAAAATATATTCCTCCCTGCCCCAACATTTTCTAAAAGTTCTGTCTTCTCCTGATGTTCAGGGTCAATTACTCCTGTCTAAATTATGACTCCTTTACTTGACTTCTCATCTTGACATCAGATCAAAGTGGTCAGGCAGGAGGCATAGGTTAAAAATTTAAATTTAATATAACACAGAAACTCTGGTGGAAATGTTTCTTGTTTTTGTTTCAGTTTTCTTCTGGGAACAAGGGGCAGAAAGCACAAACTCTTCAAGTGAGTCACAGTGAATGACTATAAGCAGGGCACTTCTCATGTCTGCTTCCAAACTTTGGTTCACAGAACCATGTATTTTACCCATTGGAAGCACCATATATGTAGAATAATGGTTGTTGACTTAAAGTATAGACTGCATTCTGTTAGATAGTTAACCATATTCATAGGAAATATATCTAACTTGAAGTCTCAGCTGTATCTTCAAAAGGCAGTTCTGTCACTCTATCAAGCCAGTAGATTCTGGCAGTACAAATGTGATAGCACCAGTGTATCCTATTATCTCTTGCACTTCCTTTACTTTGAAGTGTGTGCCTTAGATTTGATCTATGCAGTTTACCAGGTTTACTGTATGAGATACTCCTTATATCCTTGAATAGAGGTGCAAGAATGTCAAACCCATACTCTGAATATTTGTTGATTCTGGTAAAGAAGAATCACTGCTTCTGCTACTAGAGAACGGGTATAATGTAATCAATAGCCACCCTCAAGGGATGGTATCACATTATGGCAGCTCTTTACCTGACAAGTTTAACTTTTATCAATACAGCAACTAGATCAGTCTTGTTGAATAGGAGCCCATGCTGTTGGATTCATGAGTAGGTTGTTATTGCTATCATGGGTATCAATCTTATGGGCCCATTGATGTGAGATGATGTATAGGAACTGGAATAGCATCAGCAAATGACATAGAAGTCAGGACCTTTTGACTTTACAGGTCTGCAGACACCAAGCTCTTGAATGACAGCTCAGGCTGCATGTTTACTTGATGTCACCTGGTCAGATACGCCTTCTCATTTTGGCCAATCAGATTAGTAGGAACTGGTTTTTGAGTATTATATAGTTCTCTGCCAAAAGAAAAGGCATGTTCCCGAACCATAAGATTGCCTGTAAGTTGTGTATTGCATCTTTTCCTTCCTCTAATATCTCTAGTACTATAAAATCCTCTAGATTATATGGTCATAGGTGGCTGTGAACTATCAACAGTTATTATTTCCTGCATCTAGGAAATGTTTATCTTAATTCTGAGTGAGCATCTTGACAGTACAGAACAATGCCCATTACCACATGTGTGTTTGTTGTTAGTGAAACAGCACATCAGTGTCACTTTTTTAAAAAATGAGGGCAATTAGACAAAAATTATAAACATGTAATATATTTATGCTGTTTGTCCAAAGAATTCTAATATGTCTAAATAGAAAAAAGAACTAGTGCTTCAATTTATAAGAAAATGTAAATATTCATTGAAAAGGAACTAAATAAATACATATATTTTTTAAATTAAATGATATAAACCATCAAGAAGGGAGATATGATGTCATATATTTATGTTAATTAATAAACCAAATTCGTTATGACATAAAGATTAAAAGACATTATTAAACACCTTTGGAGTACTATTTCATTATATTGATTTTGTCTATATAAATCTATTATATTTTTATAGCCATAAAAGAATATACTGCTCACTATTAGATCATAGATCTTCTAAGAATATCATTTTCCTATTTTTTTAGCCAAACAAGTTGCAATGTAGGCAAAAGACAGAAAAAGACATTTCACCAAACATAATATATGAATGGGTAGCTCTTCTAAGCCAATTAAAAACTCTTCTAAGAACTTCATTTTCCTATTTTTTTAACAAAACAAGTTACAGTATAGCCAAAGACAGAAAAAGACATTTCACCAAACATAATACATGAATGGCAATTAAGTGCATGAAAAAATATTCAACACAACTACCCATTAGGGAAATACAAATTAAGATCACAACTGTGCATATCATATGTCTATTATATCAGCTAAAATGAGAAAAAAAATACCAAATTATGGTGAGGATGTAGAGAAACTGGATCTTCCATGCATTGCTTATGGAAATCTAAAATGATGTAGCCATTTTGAAATTGGTTAGCAGTTTTTTAATAAACTAAATATATGTTTAACATATGAACCTAGCAATGACACCTCTGGGAAACTATCCCAGAGAAATAAAAACTTATGTCTACACACAATATTTTATACATTTTTTTGTATAAAATAGGAGGTTTTTTTTTGTAATAGCTCTAAACTTGAAACAACCAAAATATCCTACAATAGGTGAATAGTTAACAAACTGTGGTACATGCATACCATGAACTATCACTCAGTAATACAATGGAACACACTGTGACACAAGGTTTGTCTAGAATGGATCTCAAGGGCATAATTCTGAGTGAAGAAAAGACAGTTTCAAAAGGCCATATACTGTATGTTTTTATTTATATAACACTCTTTTAGTGGCAAAAATATAGCGATGTTGAATGTATTAGTGATTGCAAGAGTTTGAATAGGTGGGTGGAAGGAGGTGGATAGGACTAAAAAGGAGTAGCATGAGGGAGATCTTTGAGGTAAGGGAATCATTCTATGTCTTGATTGCAGTGGTAGTTACATAGATCTACACGTCATTAAATTACATAGAAGTGCACATATATCTTATGGAATTTCCTGGGCTCGGTATTAGGTATTATATACAACAGATAACTAAGACATAACCAATGAGTGATGCTGGGTTATGGTTACATGAACCGTTTCCGTGCTGTCTTTGTAACTTCTTGTACTCTAAATTCTTTTATTAAAAAATGTATATTCAAATTGTGATAAGAATGCATTTTATTTCTTAAAAAATTAAATAAACAAGCTCGCTGAAGACAATAAGGTCCTTCTCAGGAATATTGTAAAATAGAGATTGAATAAAATGTTTTAGAAGCTAAACTATAATAAAAGAAT
Source organism: Homo sapiens (assembly GCF_000001405.40). Classification (NCBI taxonomy): domain Eukaryota; kingdom Metazoa; phylum Chordata; class Mammalia; order Primates; family Hominidae; genus Homo; species Homo sapiens. Next base: position 86,383,307 of record NC_000007.14, on the reverse strand, counting down.
AAATGGAAATGAGTTCAGAGTTTTTCCTTCCTTAAGTGATTTCCAGAAACCAGTAGATAGGAGTGATTAATTGAAAAATAGAATGAGAAAGTGATTAATTGAAAAAATAAAAATTAATTGAAAAAATAAAAAAGTGATTAATTGAAAAAAGGTTTTAAATGTTCCACTCTTGGTTGAAGGAAACAAAAAATGTATTCAAATATAGTACTGGCTGTTTGTAAATTTTCTATTTTATATGAAAGACATGTGAAGTCTATATTGGTTAAATACACTCAGTAAATCATATAACATTTGAGTTACAGAAAAATGACTCATTTAAAAGGTAAATGATGCTTTTCCAAATAATCCTGTTAAATCATCTTGACAAGTGTTATAATACTATAAGTTTAATTATTTTTTTCTATCCCTTCATGGATATTTTAAGTCAGGAGGCCAAAGGACTGGGAAACTTAGGCTAATTTGTTGTTTCAGAAACAAACCAAAAACCACAAAAAATGCTCTGTTATCTATTAAATATTTTTTTTTGCATTAACTGTTTGCTTATATTTTCAGAATATTTTTCTTCCAGAATCTACTTGTTCTGATGTCTGTTTGAGGCCTTGAACCTTTTTGCAAATGATGGCTATTGGCCAAGTAGTACTGTTCCTTGGGGAAAACTCAGAAACAAGAATGGTAGGAGCAGGTGTGCTGATGCCCTGTTGTTTATCACATTTTGAGGTAGTTCCAAGAAATTTGTTTGGACTTTGAGGGAGAGTTTCTAATATTTGAGTTCTGATTCCTTTAAGCTGCATCAACATGAAAGTCTCAAAATATTATTTAAAATTTAAACAGAATTTTCAGTATTTTTCCCTTGAATGGATCACCTTGCACAGCTTGTTTGGGCAACATTTATTAATTCTACAGCATCATTTGTCATTTGCTGCCACATCTTCTTCCTTTTCTCTTTATTTAGATAACCAAAAAAATTATGACTTGAAAATACCATTGCAATTTAAAAAATAAAAAAATAAAAATTTCCATATATATGTGATATAGCTTCACATTTTATTTTAAGTGGTATCTGATAGAAAAAGAAGAAAAATATAAATAGTCTGGACATCCAGACTGATGAGTTTTAGATTCAGATTCAAATAATATTAATGAGCAGTAACAATGAGATTGCCACATTATCGAGCACTGTACATACTCTATTTTATACTACCCCTCACAGTATCTATATGAGGTAAATATTACTAGTACCCTGATTTTTTAAAAAAAGAACCTGAGACTAAAAGAGGAGAAACACTTTATTAACACTTTACACATATAAACAAAAGTAGCCGTTTTCAGCTGTAATTTTAAAAATGTATTTGATTGCATGTTTATGTAAACCCCTAATTATATACAATATAATTATACTAATGCAATGAGACTGATTTGTGACTGTAGTTTATGAGTATCAGACTAATTATATTTAAACAACCAGCTGGAGAAAATTGGAAAAAGAAATCTATCTCCTTGGTTTTTGATATATGAATTAGTAAGGCATTTGATAGAGAAATATCTGTACCTATGTCTACATCTCTGTATATACCTATCTGCGACTTGAGGTTAATTTGTTCGGGGTCTGAAATTACTGTCATATGTCTGTTTTCAATTAAACTTGTAAACGATTCTTCTCTTTACGACTGAGTTTTTTTTTAAATTTTTTAAATTATACTTTAAGTTTTAGGGTACATGTGCACAACGTGCAGGTTTGTTACATATGTATAAATGTGCCATGTTGGTGTGCTGCACCCATTAACTCGTCATTTAACATTAGGTATATCTCCTACTGTTATCCCTCCCCTTCCCTCCACCCCACAACAGACCCTGTGTGTGATGTTCCCCTTCCTGTGTCCATGTGTTCTCATTGTTCAATTCCCACCTATGAGTGAGAACACGCAGTGTTTGTTTTTTTGTCCTTGCGATAGTTTGTTGATAATGATGGTTTCCAGCTTCATCCATGTCCCTACAAGGGACATGAACTCATCCTTTTTTATGGCTGCATAGTATTCCGTGGTGTATATGTGCCACATTTTCTTAATCCAGTCTATCATTGTTGGACATTTGGGTTGGTTCCAAGTCTTTGCTATTGTGAATAGTGCTGCAATAAACGTATGTGTGCATGTGTCTTTATAGCAGTATCTTTTATAATCCTTTGGATATATACCCAGAAATGGGATGGCTGGGTCAAATGGTATTTCTAGTTCTAGATCCCTGAGGAATCGCCACACTGACTTCCACAATGGTTGAACAAGTTTACAGTCCCACCAACAGTGCAAAAGTGAATCCTTTGGGTATATACCCTGTAATGGGATGGCTGGGTCAAATGGTATTTCTAGTTCTAGATCCCTGAGGAATCACCACACTGACTTCCACAATGGTTGAACTAGTTTACAGTCCCACCAACAGTGTAAAAGTGTTCCTATTTCTCCACATCCTCTCCAGCACCTGTTGTTTCCTGACTTTTTAATGATCGCCATTCTAACTGGTGTGAGATGGTATCTCATTGTGGTTTTGATTTGCATTTCTTTGATGGCCAGTGATGATGACCATTTTTTCATGTCTTTTGGCTGCATAAATGTCTTCTTTTGAGAAGTGTCTGTTCATATCCTTCGCCCACTTTTTGATGGCGTTGTTTTTTTCTTGTAAATTTGTTGGAGTTCATAGTAGATTCTGGATATTAGCCCTTTGTCAGATGAGTAAATTGCAAAAATTTTCTCCCATTCTGTAGGCTGCCTGTTCATTCTGATAGTAGTTTCTTTTTCTGTGCAAAAGCTCTTTAGTTTAATTAGATCCCATTTGTCGATTTTGGCTTTTGTTGCCATTGCTTTTGGTGTTTCAGAGATGAGGTCCTTGCCCATGCCTATGTCCTGAATGGTATTGCCTAGGTTTTCTTCTAGGGTCTTTACGGTTTTAGGTCTAAAATTTAAGTGTTTAATCCATCTTGAATTAATTTTTGTATAAGGTGTAAGGAAGGGGTCCAGTTTCAGCTTTCTACATATGGCTAGCCAGTTTTCCCAGCACCATTTATTGAATAGGGAATCCTTTCCCCATTGCTTGTTTTTGTCAGGTTTGTCAAAGATCAGACAGCTGTAGATATGCGGCATTATTTCTGAGGGCTCTGTTCTGTTCCATTGGTCTATATCTCTGTTTTGGTACCAGTACCATGCTGTTTTGATTACCATAGCCTTGTAGTATAGTTTGAAGTCAGGTAGCGTGATGCCTCTAGCTTTGTTCTTTTGGCTTAGGATTGACTTGGCAATGCGGCCTCTTTTTTGGTTCCATATGAACTTTAAAGTAGTTTTTTCCAATTCTGTGAAGAAAGTCATTGGTAACTTGATGGGGAAGGCATTGAATCTATAAATTACCTTGGGCAGTATGGCCATTTTCACGATATTGATTGTTCCTACCCATGAGCATGGAATGTTCTTTCATTTGTTTGTATCCTCTTTTAATTCATTGAGCAGTGGTTTGTAGTTCTCCTTGAAGAGGTCCTTCACATCCCTTGTAAGTTGGATTCCTAGGTATTTTATTCTCTTTGAAGCAATTGTGAATGGGAGTTCATTCATGATTTAGCTCTCTGTTTGTTTGTTATTGGTGTATAAGAATGCTTGTGATTTTTGCACATTGATTTTGTATCCTGAGACTTTGCTGAAGTTGCTTATCAGCTTAAAGAGATATTGGGCTGAGACGATGGGATTTTCTAGATATACAATCCTGTCATCTGCAAACAGGGACAATTTGACTTCCTCTTTTCCTAATTGAATACCCTTAATTTCCTCTTCCTGCCTAATTGCCCTGGCCAGAACTTCCAACACTATGTTGAACAGGAGTGGTGAGAGAGGGCATCCCTGTCTTGTGGCACTTTTCAAAGGGAATGCTTCCAGTTTTTGTCCATTCAGTATGATATTGGCTATGGGTTTGTCATAGATAGCTGTTATTATTTTGAGATACGTCCCATCAATACCTAATTTATTGAGAGTTTTTAGCATGAAGTGTTGTTGAATTTTGTCAAAGGACTTTTCTGCATCTATTGAGATAGTCATGTGGTTTTTGTCATTGGTTCTGTTTATATGCTGGATTATGTTCATTGATTTGAGTATGTTTTACCAGCCTTGCCTCCCAGGGATGAAGCCCACTTGATCATGGTGGATAAGCATTTTGATATGCTGCCAGATTTGGTTTGCCAGTAGTTTATTGAGGATTTTTGCATCAATGTTCATCAAGGATATTGGTCTAAAATTCTCTTTTTTTGTTGTGTCTCTGCCAGGCTTTGGTATCAGGATAATGCTGGCCTCATAAAATGAGTTAGGGAGGATTCCCTCTTTTTCTATTCATTGGAATAGTTTCAGAAGGGATGGTACCAGCTCCTCTTTGTACCTCTGGTAGAATTCGGCTGTGAATCCATCTGGTCCTGGACATTTTTGGTTGGTAAGCTATTAATTATTGCCTCAATTTCAGAGCCTGTTATTGGTCTATTCAGAGATTCAACTTCTTCCTGGTTTGGTCTTGGGAAGGTGTATGTGTCGAGGAATTTATCCATTTCTTCTAGATTTTCTAGTTAATTTGCATAGAGGTGTTCATAGTATTCTCTGATGGTAGTTTGTATTTCTGTGGGATCGGTGGTGATATCCCCTTTATCATTTTTTATTGCGTCTATTTGATTCTTCTCTCTTTTCTTCTTTATTAGTCTTGCTAGCCATCTATCAATTTTGTTGATCTTTTCAAAAAAGCAGCTCCTGGATTCATTGATTTTTTGAAGGGTATTTTGTGTCTCTATTTCCTTCAGTTCTGCTCTGATCTTAGTTATTTCTTGCCTTGTGCTAGCTTTTGAATGTGTCTGCTGTTCTCTAGTTTAATTGTGATGTTAGGGTGTCCATTTTAGATCTTTCCTGCTTTCTCTTGTGGGCATTTAGTGCTATAAATTTCCCTCTACACAGTGCTTTGAATGTATCGCAGAGATTCTGGTATGTTGTGTCCTTGTTCTCGTTGGTTTCAAAGAACATCTTTGTTTCTGCCTTCATTTTGTTGTGTACCCACTAGTCATTGAGGAGCAGGTTGTTCAGTTTCCATGTAGTTGAGCGGTTTTGAGTGAGTTTCTTAATCCTAAGTTCTAGTTTGGTTGCAGTGTGGTCTGAGAGACAGTTTGTTATCATTTCTGTTCTTTTACATTTGCTGAGGAGTGTTTTACTTCCAACTATGTGGTCATTTTTGGAATAGGTGTGGTGCTGAAAAGAATGTATATTCTGTTGATTTGGGGTGGAGAGTTCTGTGGATGTCTATTAGGTCCGCTTGGTGCAGAGCTGAGTTCAGTTCCTGGGTATTCTTGTTAACTTCCTGTCTCCATCTGTCTAATGTTGACAATGGGGTGTTAAAGTCTCCCATTATTATTGTGTGGGAGTCCAAGTCTCTTTGTAGGTCTCTAAGGACTTGCTTTATGAATCTGGGTGCTCCTGTATTGGGTGCATATATATTTAGGATAGTTAGTTCTTGTTGAATTGATCCCTTTACCATTATGTAATGGTCTTCTTTGTCTCTTTTGATCTTCTTGGTTTAAAGTCTGTTTTATCAGAGACTTGGATTGCAACCCCTGCCTTTTTTTGTTTTCCATTTGCTTGGTAGATCTTCCTCCCTCCCTTTATTTTGAGCCTATGTGTGTCTCTGCACGTGAGATGGGTTTCCTGAATACAGCACACTGATGGGTCTTGACTCTTTATCCAATTTGCCAGCCTGTGTCTTTCAATTGGAGCATTTAGCCCATTTACATTTAAACTTAATATTGTTATGTGTGAATTTGATCCTTTCATTATGATGTTCGCTGGTGATTTTGCTCATTAGTTGATGCAGTTTCTTCCTAGCCTTGATGGTCTTTACAATTTGGCATGTTTTTGCAGTGGCTGGTACTGGTTGTTCCTTTCCATGTTTAGTGCTTCCTTCAGGAGCTCTTTTAGGGCAGGGCTGGTTGTGACAAAATCTCTCAGCATTTGCTTGTCTGTAAAGTACTTTATTTCTCCTTCACTTATGAAGCTTAGTTTGGCTCGATATGAAATTCTGGGTTGTAAATTCTTTTCTTTAAGAATGTTGAATATTGGCCCCCACTCTCTTCTGGCTTGCAGAGTTTCTGCTGAGAGATCAGCTGTTAGTCTGATGGGCTTCCCTTTGTGGGTAACCCGACCTTTCTCTCTGGCTGCCCGTAACATTTTTTCCTTCATTTCAACTTTGGTGAATCTGACAATTATGTGTCTTGGGGTTCCTCTTCTCGAGGAGTATCTTTGTGGTGTTCTCTGTATTTCCCGAATTTGAATATTGGCCTGCCTTGCTAGATTGGGGTAGTTCTCCTGCATAATATCCTGCAGAGTGTTTTCCAACTTGGTTCCATTCTCCCCGTCACTTTCAGGTACACCAATCAGACGCAATTTGTTCTTTTCACATAGTCCCATATTTCTTGGAGGCTTTTGTTCATTTCTTTTTATTCTTTTTTCTCTAAACTTCTCTTTTTGCTTCGTTTCATTCATTCGATCTTCCATCACTGATACCCTTTCTTCCAGTTGATCGAATCGGCTTCTGAGGCTTGTGCATTCGTCACATAGTTCTCGTACCAGGGTTTTCAACTCCACCAGGTCCTTTAAGGATTTCTTGGCATTGGTTATTCTAGTTAGTCATTCATCTAATTTTTTTTCAAGGGTTTTAACTTCTTTGCCATGGGTTCGAACTTTCTCCTTTAGCTCGGAGTAGTTTGATTGTCTGAAGCCTTCTTCTCTCAACTCGTCAAAGTCATTCTCCATCCAGCTTTGTTCCGTTGCTGGTGAGGAGCTGTGTTCCTTTGGAGGAGGAGAGGTGCTCTGATTTTTAGAGTTTCCAGTTTTTCTGCTCTGCTTTTTCACCATCTTTGTGGTTTTATCTGCCTTTGGTCTTTGATGATGGTGATGTACAGATGGGGTTTTGGTATGAATGTCCTTTCTGTTTGTTAGTTTTCCTTCTAACAGTCAGGACCCTCAGCTGCAGGTCTGTTGGAGTTTGCTGGAGGTCCACTCCAGACCCTGTTTGCCTGGGTATCAGCAGCAGAGGCTGAAGAACAGCAGATATTGGTGAACAGCAAATTTTGCTGCCTGATCATTCCTCCGGAAGTTTTGTCTCAGAAGAGTACCCTGCCATGTGAGGTGTCAGTCTGCCCCTACTGGGGGGTGCCTCCCAGTTAGGCTACTCAGGGGTCAGGGACCCACTTGAAGAGGCATTCTGTCCATTCTCAGATCTCCAGCTGCGTGCTTGGAGAACCACTACTCTCTTCATAGCTGTCAGACAGGGATATTTAAGTCTGCAGAGTTTTCTGCTGCCTTTTGTTTGGCTATGCCCTTCCCCCAGAGGTGGAGTTTACAGAGGCAGGCAGGCCTCCTTGAGCTGCGGTGGGCTTCACCCAGTTTGAGCTTCCAGGCCGCTTTGTTTACCTACTCAAGCCTCAGCAATGGTGGGCGCCCCTCCCCCAGCCTCGCTGCAGCCTTGCTGTTTGATCTCAGACTGCTGTGCTAGCAATGAGCGAGGCTCCGTGGGCATAGAACCCTCCGAGCCATGCGCGGGATATAATCTCCTGGTGTGCCGTTTGCTAAGACAGTTGGAGAAATGCAGTATTAGGGTGGGAGTGACCTGATTCTCCAGGTGCCATCTGTCACCCTTTCTTTGACTAGGAAAGGGAATTCCCTGACCCCTTGCGCTTCCTGGGTGAGGCGATGCCTCACCCTGCTTCAGCTCAGGCTTGGTTCACTGCACCCACTAGTGAGATGAAGCCGGTACCTCAGTTGGAAATGCAGAAATCACCCATCTTCTGTGTTGCTCACGCTGGGAGCTGTAGACTGGAGGTGTTCCTATTCGGCCATCTTGGCTCCACCCCCAAGGCACGACTGAGTTACTAAAGAAAATAGCTTTGGTGAGAGAGAGAGATAAAATGAAAAGCAAGAGGGACTGAAGGGAGGCTTTGAATGTGATAGAGTAACACAATTGCCAGGTAGAGACTGTGGGCAGAAAAGTGATACCTATTGACGATTGAGTTATTAAAGAAACATCAGTAGGTATCACTTTTCTACCCACAGTCTCTTCCTGGCAATTGTTTTACTCTATCACATTCAAAGCCTCCCTTCAGTCCCTCTTGCTTTTCATTTTATCTCTCTCTCTCACCAAAGCTATTTTATTCATTTTTTGGTATGAAACTGAATTTCATAATATACTCTTCTTGGTTAAGAAAGATAGCCAATGAAAGTGGTTTAAAAGAGCCTACAGTGAGGTGAGTAGACGTCTTCTACATAAAGTGCTATTGTTAAAATTTTATAAGATGTAGAAATACTACAGAAAAAAAATTCTTTTGGCAAACATTAATGAAAAAATGATGACAAAATGAAAAGTCTGCAAGTTTATACAGAATAAAATGTATAAAATGCCAATCTTAGTGTACACCAATATTTCATTTATTTCAAACTTGAATAAGTGCCTACTGTTTAGAAGAAATAGTAAAGATATGTAAAAGAAGAAGCAACTATTAAAAGGTATGACAACATAAAATAAAATAGCTTCTCTGTATTTTAAAAGTACACATATAAGGAATTGCTTCCTTCAAAATCCTGCTTGTCCCCTTGAAAAACAGACGAAATGCATTTGATCCTAAATGTACTCTTGAGGTACAGAAAAGGAAGTGGAGGAATTAAGAGCAGAGCAGATCTTTTGGCGAACTACAGGGATTAGTAAATAAAAAATGGTGCTCCCCATCTGCTGAGAATGGGGGTGTCTGGCTCATCACCAATACTTTAGCTTGGTTTCCCAAAAGAGCTACAACCAGGAAATAAGAGTTAATTAGAAATACACTGGTCCTGAAATCCTCGTTTAAAAGCATCTTAAAACTTATTTAGGTTAAAGTAATTTGCCACCAGATACCATTTAAAGCACATGTAAATCCTATTTGCAAGAAGCTAACATCATATCAGCCTCGAAATTACTTTGAAATTTTATAAGCAATATAAAAGTCAATCAAAAATGATCAGATGCAAGTTAAATATATGTGGCATATTCATACAGTGTGATGTTACTCAGCTGTAAAAAAAAATGTTGCATGCAACAACATAGTGAATCTAACAGGGAGAATATTAGGTTAAAAAAAGATGCAAATGACTACAAATTAGGCATATCTCAGAGATATAGCAGATTTGATTCCAGACCACCACAATAAAGTGAATATCACAATAAATTGAGTCACACACCTGTTTTGGTTTCCCAGTGTATATGTTATGTTTACACCATCTTGTAGTCTATTAAGAAAAAATAGCATTATATCTAACAGACAGTGTACGTACTTTAATTAAAAATACTTTATTGCTAAAAATTCTAATCACGTAATCTTTCTGTGAGTCATAATCTTTTAGCTGGTAGAGGGTTTTCCTCAGTGATGATGGCTGCTGACTGATCAAGGTGATGGTTGCTAAAGGTTGGGATGACTCTGGAAATTTTTTAAAATAATAAATAACAATGAAGTTTGCCACTGAAGTTTAATTGATTATTTCTTTTAAAAAAGATTCCCTGTAGCATGCAGTGCTGTTTGATAGCATTTTACCCATAGTAAAAGTTCTTTCAAAATTGGAGTCAATCCTCTCAAACCTTGCTACTGCTTTATCAACTAAGTTTAGGTAATATTCTAAATTCTAATTTTTTTTTTTTTGTCATACGAACACTGTTCACAGCATCTTCACCAGGAGTAAATTCCATCTAAAGAAACCACCTTGTTTTCTCATGCATAAGAAGCAACTCCTCATCTTTTTAAATTTGATCATAAGATTGCAGCAATTCAGTCACATATTCAGGGTCCACTTCTAGTTCTCTTGCCATTTCCACCACATCTGTAGTAACTTCCTTTACTGAAGTATTGAACCTCTCAAAGTAAACCATGAAGGTTGGAATCAACTTCTTCAAATTCTTGTTAATGTTGATATTTTGACATCCTCCCATAAATCAAAAATGTTCTTAGTGGCATATAGAAATAATTGTTTCTAGAAGATTTTCAGTTTATTTTGCCCAGATCCATCACAGGAATCATTGCCTACTAAGCTATATATGTTTAGAAAATTTATTTCTAACATAATAAGACTTGAAAGTCAGAATTACTCCTTGATGCATAGGCTACATGATACATGTTATGCTAACAGGCATAAAAACATTAATCTTATACATCTCTATCAGAGCTCTTGGGTGACTAGCTGCATAATCAATAAATAGTAATACTTGGAAAGGAATCTTTTCTCTAAACAGTAGGTCTCAACAGTGGGCTTAAAATATCAGTAAATCATGCTGTTAAGAGATGTGCTGTTATGCAAACTTTGTTTTCCATGTATAGAGCACAAGCAGAGGAGATTTAGCATAATTTTTAAGGGCTCTAATATTTTCCAAATGGTCAATGAGAATGAACTTCAACTCAACTCAAAGCACCAGCTGAATTCACCCCTAACAAGAGAGTCAACCTGTCTTTTGAAGCTTTGAAGCCAGGCATTGATTTCTCCTGTCTAGCTGTGAAAATCTTAGGTGGTATTTTTTTCCAATAGAAGGCCATTTTATCTGCCGTAAAAATCTGCTGTTTGGTGTATCCAATTTATCATTTATCTTAGCCAGATCTTCCGGATATCTTGCTGCACTGTCTACATCACCACTTGTTGCTTCCTGTTGCACTTTTATGTTAGGAAGATAGTTTCTTCTCTTAAACCTCAAGAACCAACCTCTGCTAGCTTCAAACTTATTTTCTGCAGATTCCTCATTTCTCTCAGCTTTCGTAGACTTGAAGAGAGTTGTGGCTTTGCTCTGGATAGGAGAATCTTGTGGCTGGCTTTGTCTTCTATCCAGACCACTAAAATAGCAATGAGGCTGTTTCATTTTCTTATTGTTTGTTGGTTCACTGAAGTCGAACTTTTAATTTTCTTCAAGAACTTTTCCTTTGCATTCACAACTTGGCTAACTGTTTCATGCAAAATGTCTAGCTTTAAGCCTATCATGGCTTTTGACATGCCTTCCTCACTAAGCTTAGTAATTTCCACCTTTTGATTTAAAGTGAGAGACATGTGACTCTTCTTTTCACCTGGACAGTTAGAGGCCATTGTAAGGTTATTAATTGGCCTAATTTTAATATTATCACATCTCAGGGAATAGGGAGAACCGAGGAGAGTGAGAGAGATGGGAGATAGAGCCAGCTGGTGGAACTGTCAGAACATACACATGTATCAATTACATTTGCTGTTTTATATGGGCTCAGTAGTGGAGCTCTAAAACAATTACAATAGCTATATTGAAGATCAGGCACACTCATAGGTAAAGTAATGCAGGCTAAATCAAAGTTAACAGTCCATTCTTTTAACCTATTATTTTGAAAACAGTCACATATTTTGATAATGTACAGAGTGTACAAGAACATGGATTGACAGGCTATTGAGGCATTATTAGTGAAAATATGAATTCGAGTAACTTGTTTAGAAAGCTATTTAGCAACAGCTACCAAACTTAAAAAGCCTACTTGTTTTATCAGCATCTCTACCTCTAGGAATATTTCCAAATATCACACATTTCTATAGAGTTCTAAGTACATTAATATGTTATAACCTTGTTTTAAAAATAAATTTCTGAAATAAACTCAAGTTCAAAAATAACAAGTTAAATAAACTTTGGTTAAGTATCCTAAATCCCTTTACAACTTTTACAACTGTTAAGATTAATGGCTTTAGATACATATCTGCAGATAAGAAAACGTTACCAAGCACATATATATGCTTACTAAGCATGTAGATAAATATATTTGCAGTCACTTAAGCAAGTCACTTAAGCAGTCACTTAAGTCACGTATACAGAGAGGAAGATAAAAAAAGACAGGGGGAGAGTTTTTTTTTTTTTTTGTTTACAAAGATACAAAATTTCCAGAAGGGTATAAAAGAAACCAATGAAAGTGTTGTGTCTTGGGTAGATTATTGTGGTTCTGTGGTGAGGAAGAAGACTCATTTTCATTTTTATTATCTATACTCTTAATAAATGCAATGTTTTACTTGCTTCATCTACTACTTTTAAGTTTAAAAATTCATTCCAAACACATTCTAGCTCCCTAAAACCTACACAGTTTTTGGATGGCTTAATAAATTTTTTTCATGAAAACATGTATATTTCAGTTCCTTATATATTTTGGATATTAACCCTTATTAGATGTACAGTTTGCAAATATTTTCTCCTATTCTGTAAGTTATCTGTTCATTCCACTGATTGTTTCATTTTCTGTGCAGAAGATTTTTATTTTGATATAATCCCATTTGTCCATTTTTACTTTTGTTGCCTATGCTTTTAAGGTCATATCCAAAAGTCACTGCCCAGACCAATGCCATGGAGCTTCCCTCATAGGTTTTCTTCTAGTAGTTTCAGTTTCAGGTTTTACATTTATGTCTTAAATCCATTTTGAGTTGATTTTTTAAAAATTATACTTTAAATTCTGGGGTAAATGTGCAGAACGTGCAGGTTTGTTACATTTGTATACACGTGCCTTGGTGGTTTGCTGCACCCATCAACCCATCATCTATATTAGGTATTTCTCCCAGTGCTATCCATCCTCTAGTCCTGCACCCTCGGACAGGCCCCTGTGTGTGATGTTCCCCTCCCTGTGTCCATGTGTTCTCATTGATCAACTCCCACTTATGAGTGAGAATATGAGGTATTTGGTTTTCTGTCCCTGTGTTAGTTTGCTGAGAACGATGGTTTCCAGCTTCATCCATGTCCCTGCAAAGGACATAAACTCATCCTTTTTTATGGCTGCATAGTATTTTGAGTCTTATATATCAAGAAAGCAAATGACCCAATTAAAAAATGGGCAATCGACCTGAATAGACGTTTCTCAAAAGAAGGCAAAAAAAAAAAAAAAACAAGTATACACAAAATTGCTCAACATCACAGGCAAATGCACATTTAAACCACAATGGGATATCATCTCATATTTAGAATGGCTAATATAAAAAAGATAGAATATACTGTGTTGGGTAGGATATAGAGGAAAGGGAAACCTCACATACCATTGGTGGAAGTGTAAATTAGTACAGCCATTATAAAAACAATATGGAGGTTTCTCTAAAAATTAAATAGAACTACCATATGATCCCCCTACTGAATATTTATCCAAAGAAAATGAAACCAGTATGTGGAAGAAATATCTGCATGCTGATGTTTATCACAGCCTTATTCACAATCACCAAGATGTGGAATCAACCTAAGTATCCAACAACAGATGAATGGATAGAGAAAATTGGTATATATACACAATAAAATACTATGCAGCCATAAAAATAAAGTAAACCCTGTCATTTGCAGCAACATGGGTGAACTTGAAGGACATATGCTAAGTGAAATAAGCCCAGTACAGAAAGACAAACACTGCATATCATTCATATGTGAAATTTACAAAAATAAAAAAAGACCTCATGTAAGTAGAGGATAGGATGGTAGTTATCAGGGACTAGGATGGTGGGTGGGCAGAGGCTGTTGGGGAGACGTTTGTCAAAGGTCACAAAATTTCAGCTAGATAGGATCAATAACTTCAAGAAATCTATTGCAAAACATGGTGACTATAGTTAGCATTATAGTATTGTTGAAAAATGCTGAGTGTGGATAGAAAGTTTTTTCACCACAAAAATAATAACTATATGAGGTATGCTTATGTTAATTAGCTAGATTTGGGCATTCCCTAATGTATATATACTTCAAATATTATGCTATGTATGGTAAATATGTACAATTTTATTTGTTAATTTAAAATAAATAAAATTGAACACAGGAAACTGCATATATATATATATTTATTATACTGTAAGTTCTAGGGTACATGTGCACAACGTGCTGGTTTGTTACATATGTGTACATGTGCCATGTTGGTGTGCTGCACCCATTAACTCGTCATTTACATTAGGTATATCTCCTAATGCTATCCCTTCCTCCTCCCCCAACCCCACAACAGGCCCTGGTGTGTGATGTTCCCCTTCCTGTGTCCAAGTGTTCTCATTGTTCAGTTCCCACTTATGAGTGAGAACACGAGGTGTTTGGTTTTTTGTCCTTGAGATAGTTTGTTGAGAATGATGGTTTCTAGCTTCATCCATGTCCCTACAAAGGACATGAACTCATCATTTTTTATGGCTACGTAGTATTCCATGGTGTATATGTGCCACATTTTCTTAATCCAGTCTATCGTTGTTGGACATTTGGGTTGGTTCCAAGTCTTTGCTATTGTGAATAGTGCCACAATAAACATAAATGTGCATGTGTCTTTATAGCAGCATGATTTATAATCCTTTGGGTATGTACCCGTGATGAGATGGCTGGAACAAATGGTTATTTCTAGTTCTAGACCCTTGAGGAATCGCCACACTGACTTCCACAATGGTTGAACTAGTTTACAGTCCCACCAACAGTGGAAAAGTGTTCCTATTTCTCCACATCCTCTCCAGCACCTGTTGTTTCCTGACTTTTTAATGATCGCCATTCTAACTGGTGTGAGATGGTATCTCATTGTGGTTTTGATTTGCATTTCTCTGATGGCCAGTGATGAGCATTTTTTCATGAGTCTGTTGGCTGCATAAATGTCTTCTTTTGAGAAGTGTCTGTTCATATCCTTCACCCACTTTTTGATGGGGTTGTTTTTTTCTTGTAAATTTGTTTGAGTTCTTTGTAGATTCTGGATATTAGCCCTTTGTCAGATTAGTAAATTGCAAAAATTTTCTCCCATTCTGTAGGTTGCCTGTTCACTCTGATGGTAGTTTCTTTTTCTGTGCAGAAGCTCTTTAGTTTAATTAGATCCCATTTGTGAATTTTGGCTTTTGTTGCCATTGCTTCTGGTGTTTTAGACATGAGGTCTTTACCAATGCCTATGTCCTGAATGGTATTGCCTAGGTTTTCTTCTAGGGTTTTTATGGTTTTAGGTCTAACGTTTAAGTCTTTAATCCATCTTGAATTAATTTTTGTATAAGGTGTAAGGAAGGCATCCAGTTTCAGCTTTCTACATATGGCTAGCCAGAAACTGCATATATTTGTAATTGATGATTTTCTCAGGAGTTCTTGCTTCATTTTCATGAAAATGTAAATGAAAAATAGTTACAGAATGTATACCATGAATAATTTTAACTATATTTGCAGTAAATAAATAAAATTAAATATATCGCAGTGTTCATGGTGGTTAAATTTTTATTTTAGAAAATTTATACTTTTAATATTTACCAGATTATATATGGTAAAACTGTGATTTTTATATATATTTATTTTTGATACTATCTCTTAATTTCTACAAAGATAAAGGAAATAAAACTGCTCATATTTTCAGAAGTGAATGTTTTCCAGGTTATATAAAATAATAGTGTGTAATGTTTATATATTTTTAAAAGTGTCCCTTACTTCCTAAAAGTTAAAAAATAAAACTATTTATCTGATATATTTTCAGAATCTTTATTCTGTCACATTCAAGTTAAGGCCTGTGCAAAGGACATTTTGCATTAACTACATAAGTAAGTTGATAATTAGGTAAACCAAACAAGTAAAATATTGCCTCAATTTTAAACTATTATTTGTATTTTTGTTTATTAGATTGTATATATTCAAGATGGTAATCTAACATTTAGCTGGATTTCATTGTCTTTAAATTTTAAAGATGCTTTATTTGGTAGAATAAATCAACCCCGTACACTCTATTTTTTGGCATAATTTTGTCATTGGTACTAACCTAGTGGTCTTCACAGTGATAATGGCTCAGCAAGATTTAACAAATATAAGAACTATGATAAAGTATAAACAATGCTATTTTTCTAAACATTTAAGGTTTTACTATGGGCTCTCATAAATTTCTGGGAAGGAGGTAGCAATTTTGGTTATAGCTTTGGTATTATCATTAGCACAGTAAAATATATATTTATATATAGCTATATATAGCTATATATATATTTTGCTCTATCTCTCTCAGTGTATATATATATATGGAGTAAAAGCCATATATATATATAAAGCCTTAGGGAAAGGCTGCCCCTTGGGTTCAGAGCTGTCATTCTTCTATTCAAGCTTCAGAAATGTCTTAGCTTTCTTTGTTCCACAAGAGGCTTACTGGAACCCCTGCACAGTGTGTCAAACTGCAGGCAAATCCTTTATCAGCACATCCTTTTGAAACTGTCATTGAACTGTATGGACCTAAGGAGTGATAAGCTTTAATAATATCCTGTCCCTTTTATCCCTTCTTCCTTTCAGCTTTATTGCTGGATTCTTTATCTAAACTTAGGTTTTACAGCCTAGACAAATGCAATTCTCCTTGCCTTCAAAAGTGATGCTTAACCTAGCTTGTATTGATGTGTAGGATTTTTTAACTGCTTATTTTCTAAAATAATAAATGCTTTCTTGTAAATAACCTTGAGCTTCACTTGGAAAGTTTCAGTGTCGTGGATCACAATATCTGAAATGAAACACATCATAAAAACAAGGCTTCTAGAACTCCAGAGACTGATAAATGGCTAAGTCGTGCCTTCAAAGTCATTGTTCTATCTGCCATTTTTTCTAAAGAAGCATGCACACATACAGGCAGATTCACAGATACACATGTTTATGGGCTTAATAATGTCAAGTGAAAAATAAATTGTGAATTGTCTATGGATAATGCTTAAACGGTAAAATGTGAAAAATACTTCTTTTGAGGCTTTTTTGGTCTGTTATATAAGAATTTCAAGATTGTCACATTTTATTTGTATGCATATTTTTATATTTAAGTTGGCAAACCATTTTATATAACTAAAAATAAGTGTATTATACCATTTTTGCATATATATGAAACAGTAAATACTTGATTTGACAGATTTTATAAATTTCAATTGTTGTTGAGGTACAAATAGTACTAAAGTAACCATATGAAAATATTTGCCAGTTCCTAGCAGATATTTTTACATGTCACGCATGAAAGACTTATAATTATGACACTAGGCAAATTATATTAACCATTATGTCACAGTGGTGGGATGATAGACCATCTTAAGGGATCTATCATTCTCAAATTTTTATTCAGAGTTTTTTTAATTGAAATCAGGCTAAGTATTAGAATAAGATTTTAAACACTTCTATTTTTATTTTATATAATGTGTAATTTGATATAAGCAACCTAACACTACCAGAGATAAAGAAGCTTTGAAAAAAATAATTTTGTCTACTCTGTGTTTTTACAGATTTGGGCTCCTTTAACATATGCTTAGGAAGATGTCCTTTGAAACTGTTTTGACTTAACAATGTGAGTGCCTGAATGTGTGTGTGTGTTACTGAAGCAGAAGTATATCTCTTAGGATACCTAAGAGATAAGGTACCCTAAGAAGTCGAATAGTTATTTTTGAACTCTCTCTTCTCTACTTGTCTTGGGTTGGGCAAATTTGATAATTTAGGTGAAACAATATTCTAAAACAATATTCTCACCAACATCCTTAATTGCTTAGTATCTTCCGCCTTCAACCACACCTGTGAAGCAAAACTTGAATTGATCAATGCTAAAGTTAAACTTTTCTGCTCTAAAACTGTAAGAATACACTTTCTAAAGGTATCAGTCAACTTTATAAATGTGAACCACTAGCAACATATGGTCTATAGCATCAAGATCTTCAGCACTGTTCCTCAATCCTTTTACAAATCTCCACTAGTTATAGTCATACTGGCTCCTTCCCTTTTGACTATAAAGTTTTACTTACCCCCTGGAGGCCCACATTCTTCCCTACTCTAAGCAAGTTTATCTTTTTCCTGCTTACTGAGAAAATCAAGAAAACCACCATCTCTCTCAGCTTCCTGTTTTCCCCACAAATGTATATACAATCAAATTGGTCTTAATTTCCTTTTTTTCTAGTCTGCATGAGGGAGCATCCTTTATTTTGACTAAGGACAACCACCCTGATTAAGCTTTCAACCTCATTCCCTTGGCATCAGGCTTTCTCTTTTGCATCTTCATCAGCCCTCTTAGTCTCTTCTATGATACAAGTCTCACTTTAGCTTTTGTTCTTGCTTTTGGTATCATGCTATCTCTCCTCTTCATTCAATTCAATTTCTTAAAAATGTAATATGTATTTATTGTTTGTGTCCTTACTGCCCATTTTTGCAAAGCCCACTGAATTCTGAGTTTTGGTACTAACAGTTTTCAAACTGCTCTTGATAGAATCAGATCATCAATGACCTCCTTTTGTTTTCATTGATATTTTATGACTTCTCTGCATACATTCAACACAATTAGTGAATCAAAGCCAAATAGCACTTTCTATTTTCTAGTTTCTATTTTTAAATTTTTAATAGATTTATAGGCAGAAATTTTTTACAATAGAATTCACTCATTTTAGGTATATAGTTGGATGAGTTTTAGTAATTGCGTATATTTAACCATCATTACAATTAAGGTACAGAATAGTTCCCTTACCCTCTAAAGATTCTGCCTTTGGCATTCAAGCATTTTCCTGATTATGCCTCCAGGCAACCACACATCTGACTTCTGCCTTTATAGATTTGCCTTTCTAGAATTTCTTACAAATGGGATCAACGCTGTAAAATCATTTGTGTTGACTCCTTTTACTTAATTCAATGTTACGATTCGTCATGCTGTGAATATATTTACATCGTACTCCTTTTCACTGCTAAGTAGAATTCCACAGTAAGGATACCAAAATTTGTATATTTATTTGTCATGTTGTTTCTAGTGTACTAATTATTATAAATAATACTGCTCTATAAATATACTCCTGCAGGTCTTCGTGTGAACATATATTTTCATTTCTTCTGGGTAAACATTTACAAACGAAATAGCTGGGTTATATGGTATATGCAAATTTAACTTTGTAAGATACTGCCAAAATGTTTTTCAATATGCATATATCATTTTGCATTCCTACTAGCAGTCTTTGAAGTTTCAATTTTCTCTGCATCAGGATTTCTCGACAATAGCGCTATGACATCTTGGAATGAATAATTCTTTGTTGTGAGGGACTTTCTTGTGCATTTTATATGCTGAATAGTATCCTTGGCCTCTTCTCCCACTAGATGCCAGGAGCACACTTCTCCCCTCCATTTGTGATTACCAAAATATCTCAAGACATTATCAAACGTTCACCAAGTGCAAAAATCACCACCAGTTGAGAACCACTGCTCTGCATTCTCACTAAGGCTTTGTTAGTGATTAGTGATTTAACTTTACCATTTAAGTATGTCTATTGTGGTATCTCATTACAGTGTTAATCTACATTACCCTGATATCTAGTGTGGATGTAAACAAAGGGCACCCAAATGAGAATAAGCAAAGGCTATTTATTGTACAGTTTTTGTTTATATACAGTATCTTATAGAATGTTCACTTCACTCATTACTTAGGTAAGTGCTTTTTTCCCCCACCCCATTTAGTGAGGTTATGTCATACATTTTGATACCATTAAATTATTGTCTTATAGTTTGCATTACATCCCTGGATCCCCTAATTTTTACTTTTCCTTAGCATTATATAAATAAGATAATTTGATATGTAGCTGTATCAGATTGTCGTCTTTACTGAACAATATGCAATTAAGATACAACCATGTTGACAGCTCATTCCTGTTATCACTTAATATTGTTAGATTATAACTAACCTATTGAAGGACATCTTGGTTGCCTCTAGTTTTTGGCAGGTATAAACAACCCTGCTATAAATTTTCACATAAAGTACTTTGTGTGAATGTAGGGTTTTCAAACAGTTAAATACCTAGAAAGGTTATTGCCAGATCATATGTTTACTATGTAGGGAACTGACGAACTATCTTCCAAAATGGACATACCATTTACATTCCCTCCAGCAATGAATAAAGCTCCTATTGCTGCATATTTTTTACCAACTATTACCATTGTTAGTTTTTTATTTATTTTAGCTATCTTAACAGTGTGTATTTGTAACTTATTCTTTTAATTTGCATTTCCCTAATGACAATTGATGTTTAAATATCTCTTAATATACTTACACACTATCTGCAAAGTGTATGTGTAAAGTGTGAACATTCTAGGTATAAATCCCTTAATAGATATATATATAATTTCCAAATATGTTCCACTAATGTGTAACTTGTTTTATTCTTTATCATTTGCAAAACACAGGCTTTTAATTTAAAAAACGTCCAACTGGCTTTATTTATTTTCCCTCATGTATTGTGCTTTTGGTGCTATATACAAAAACTCATCATCTAACCCAAGGTCATTCAGATTTACTTTTATGTTTTCTTCTAGCATTTTATACTTTTGCATTTTACAATTAGGTCTGTGATTCATCTTGAGTTATTCTTTGTAAAATGTGTGAGTCCTGTGCCTAGATTGTTTTTATTTTTGCATTTGGAAATTCTATTATTCAAGCAAAATTTGTTAAAAAAAAGATTATTCTTTCTACATTGAATTGCTTTTTTGTCTTTGTTAAAAATCAGTTGTCTCTAATTATGTGAGACTATTTCTGGCCTTCCTATTCTGTACCTACCATTTACCTACGTTTCCATTCTTTCATTAATAACAGGTTGTTTTGTTTACTACAGCTTTGCAGTAAGTCTTGAAAATGTGCAAAGTAAATCTTCCAACTTTGCTCTTTACTATTGTCTTGCCATTTTTATAAACTTTAGAGTCAGTAATGCTTACTTGGATTTTGACTGGGTCTGCATTATATCTGTAGACCAAGCGAGGAATAATTGACATTTCAATAATATTGAATCTTCCAATCAATGAATATAGAATACCTTTCCATTTATTTAGAACATTTTTAATTTTTTTCATCAGTGTTTTAAAGTGTAAATTCTGTACATATTTTGTCATATTTGTACTTAAGTATGTCAGGTTTTTTGGTAGTATCCCTTGTGTTTGTTATTTACATCTCTTCCTCCCCATCCCCCTTTTATGGCTTTTCTTGTATTTAAGTATTTTACACGATTCCACTTGACCTCCTCTTTGGGCACCTCATTTTTTTTTTTTTTTGAGACAGAGTCTCGCTTTGTTGCCCAGGTTGGAGTGCAATGGCGTGATCTCGGCTCACTGCAACCTCCGCCTCCTGGGTTCAAGCGATTCTCCTGCCTCAGCCTCCCAAGTAGCTGGGATTACAGGCGCCCACCACTACACCTGGCTAATTTTTTTTTTTTTTTTGTATTTTATGTAGAGACGGGTTTTCACCATGTTAGTCAGGCTGGTCTCGAACTCCTGACCTCAGGTGATCCGCCTGCCTTGGCCTTCCAAAGTGCTGGGATTACAGGCATGAGCCACCGCGCCCAGCCGGGCACCTCATTTATATTTCTACTTTCAAAAATATATTACTGGTTGCCCGAGGCCTTATAATTCTTACATAAACTATGCCCATCTTCAGATAACACTATATCAATTCATTTGTAGAGGAGGTATTACAGAATATTGTCAATTCCTCTCTTTTCCCTTGTGATATTACTGTAATTTATTTTTATGTAACAATCTGTTCTAAGCACCCAATTTATTGTTACTATTCTTGTTTTAATTGTTATATCAATTAAGAATAAGAAAAATAAAACATTTTACTTTTCCCTCATTTAATTCATCTCTAACACTCTTCCTTTCTTTATGAGATTCAAATTTATGACCTATGTCATTATCTGAAGAATTTTTAACATTTCTTGCAGTGCTGGTCTGCCTGCAACATATTCCCTGGTTTTGTTTTTCTTAAAAAGTTATTTTTCTTCACTTTTGAAAGATACATTTGTTGAACATAGAATTCTACATTGACAGCTTTTTTTTTTTTAAACACTGGAAAGATTTAATTCCCCTCTCTTCTTGCTTGCATGGCATCAGATAAGAAATTCACTCTGATTTTCATACTTGCTTTTCTGCAGGGAAGGTATTCCCTAGTCACCACTGGCATCCTTCAAGATTTCATATTATATTTGTATTTGTTTTTTAGTAGTATAAATACAATTTTTAGAAGTGTTTTTTGGTATTTGTCTTACTTGATATTTATTGAAATTCCTGGATCTGTGTTCTATGTCTCTCATGAATTATTTTAACAATTAAATTCAATTGTTTTATTTTTTCTAAAGTTTTAAAGATTTTTTAAACTTTATATCTTATAAATAAGTAAAACCACACAAAAATAGCAAAACAAAATACATTTAGAATTATCAATATTCCATCTTTATCCTCTTTACCTTGTTCCCTCCTTCCCTGATGGGCAAAACTATCGTTGGGGCTCAGAAAATGAAGCCTTAAAATATAGTGTTTCGGCATGCTGAACAAAGGAAGCAGCCTTAATGCCTCTCTAACCTTTCTTCCTCCCTCCTATCTCTCCACCCTTTGTTACTCCCAAAGCACAAGATGAAGCTATTTTCTGAAGTTTCCTTTACTATCTAGAAACCAGAACCACCAAAGAGGAACACAACTGCCTTTGGTCTCTTCCCAGATATTTTATTAACCAGAGAAGAGTAAAACTCATATTACAGAGGAAGACACTGAAAATTAAACACCACACCTAGAACCCAGATCAACTTTGTCCCAAACCACTGTGTGTTCTACAGTTCCATTCAATTTCCAAACAGAGAAATTCACAAGATAATGTCTGCTCCTGGGTCCATTCATTCCTTCCCCCAAAATTATTTAATCCTATACCTCCACTTCTCTTTCCTTTATAAGAAATGGCATATATAGCTAGGCATGGTGGCTCATGCCTGTAATCCCAGCATTTTTGGAAGCTGAGGTAGACAGATCACTTGAGGCCAGGAGTTCGAGACCAGCCTGGCCAACATAGCGAAAAACTGTCTCTACTAAACATTCAAAAAATTAGCTGGGCCATGGTGCCGCATGCCTGTAATCCCAGCTACCTGGGAGGCTGAAGCATGTAGATCACTTGAACCTGGGAGGCAGAGGTTGCAGTGAGCCGAGATCGCACACTGCACTCCAGCCTGGGTGACACAGTGACACCTTGTCCCCCCAAAAACTAATAATAATAAAAGATCTATAAGCACCTGTAATTTATTGGGTTATTAGGTAATCATTCTCCAATATTTCCCTCATGTTATGCATATTAAATAAATCTGTATGCCCTTTCTCTTATTAATCTGTCTATCAGACATTTTATTACCAGCAAACCTTAAGAGGGTAGAGGAAAAACTTTCCTTTGGGCCCTATAGGGTCTTCAGTATTTGATGTATCTTTCCATTTCTTTTTATTTAATTGATTTTATTTTTTAGAGAAGTTTTAGATTCACAACAAAATTGAGCAGAAGACACAGACATTTCCCATTTACAGCCTGTCTGCACACATGCATAGTCTCCCACACAATCATCATCTGCCACCAAACTGGTGCATTTACTACAGTCAATGAATCTACATTGATGAACCTATCATTATTATCTGAAGTCCATAGATTATATTGTGGTTCACTTTTAGCATTGTATATTCTATGTCTAGGACATATATCTGCCATAAGACTATCACAAGATAGCATTAAAATTTTTCTGTGCTCATCTAGTTAACCTTCTCCCTGCACCGCTGCCCCCTGCCCCGCCAACCTCTGGTAATCACTGATCTTTCCAGTGTCTCCACAGTTTTACTTTTTCCAGAATATCATATACTTAGAATCATATAGTATGTAGTGTTTTCAGATTGGCTTATTTTACTTAGTGACATGCATTTAAAGTTCCTCCATGTATTTTCAAGGATTGATACTTAATTTCTTGTTAGTACTAAATAACATTCCATGATCTGGATGTACCAGTTATCCACTCACCTACTGAGGGACATCTTGATGGTTTCCAAGTTTTTGCAATAATGAATACTGCTGCTATATATTCATGTGCAAGTTTTTTTATGAACATAAATTTGCAACTTCTTGGGTAAATACTAAGAAGTTCAATTGTTGGATCATGTGGTAAGAGTATATTTAGTTTTGTAAGAAACTGTCAAATCATCTTCCAAAGTTGCTGTCATTTTGCATTTCCACCAGCAGGAATGAATGATGCTGTTGTTCCACATCCTTGCCACCGTTTGTGTTCTTAGTGTTCTGGATTTGGGCCATTCTAGCAGTGATATCTCACTGTCATTTTAATTTTCATTTTCTTGATGATATACAATGAGGATCACCTTTTCATATGTTTATTTGCCATCTGTATGTCTTCTTTGGTGAGGTGTCTGTTAAAGTCTTTGACCTACTTTGTAATCAGGTTGTTTTCTTTTCATTGAATTTTAAGATTTCTTTGTATATTTGGCTAACTGTCCTTTATTAGGTATGTCTCTTTCAAATAGTTTCTCCCAGTTTGTTGCATAACTTTGAATTTTGTTGACAGTGTCTTTCTCAGAGCAGAAATTTTTAATTTTAAGGAAGTCCAGCTTTTCAATTTTTTCTTTTATAGATCTAGCCTTTGATATGGAATCTAAAATGTCATTGCCAAACAGCCAAGGTCATCTAGATTTTCTCCTATGTTATCTTTGAAGAGTTTTATAGTTTTGCATTTATGCTTAGGACTGTGATTCATTTTGTGTTGTGAAGGATGCAAGGTTTGTGCGTAGATCCTTTTTTTTCTTTTTCTTTTTTTTTTTGCTTGCCTGTGGATGTTGAGTTGTTACAGCATCATCTGTTGAAAAAACTATATTTGTTTCATTGTACTGCCTTTTGTTCTTTTTTCAAATATCAGTTGGTTACATGTATGTGAATTTATTGTTTCTGGGCTTTCTATTCTGTTCCATTTATTTATTTCTCTATTTTTTCATCGATACAGCATTGTCTTGATTTCTACAGCTTTGTAGTCAGTCTTGAAGTCAAGCAATGTTAGTCATCCACAATTGTTACTCTTTCAATATTTTGTTAGCTATTCTTGGCCTTTTGCCCTTCATTTAAAATTTATGATGTTTGTTTGATATCTGTATCAAAATATCTGTAACAGTTGTTGACATACGTAAAATAACTTACTGAGATGTTGGTTGGGATTGCATTGAATCTATATAACAAGTGAGAAAAAAACTAATATCTTAACAATATTGAGTCTTTTTGTACTTGAACATATAATATCTGTATTCATTTAGTTCTTTGATTTCTTTCATCAGAGTGTTGTTTATTTTCATGTAAATCTTAGTCACATTTTGGTATATTTGTGCCTATTTCATTTTGGGAGGTGCTAATGTATTGTTTTAAACTTCTAGTTACATTTGTACCTTGCTGATATATGGAAAAGTGATTGACTTTTGTATATTAAATTTTCATTCTGCAACCTTGCTATATTTGCTTACTATTTCTAGGTGTTTTTTTGTCATTTCTTTCAGGTTTTTTACATAGACAATAATCTCATCTGTGAAAAAAAGACAATTTTAATTTCTTCTTTCTCTATTAGTATACTTATTTCCTTTTCTTGTCTTATTGAATTAGTTAAAACTATAGTATAGGACTGAAAAGGAGTAGTGAAAGGAGATATCTTTGCCTTATTCTTGATCTCTTCGTGGGAAAACTCACCATTAAGTGTGATGTTAGCTGTAGGTTTTTTTGTTTGTTTGTTTTGTTTTGTTTTGTACATATTATTTACCAAGGTGAGGAAGTTCCCCCCATTTCTAGTGTACTAAGAGTTTTTGATGAGTGTTAGATTTTGCAAAATAAATTTTGTATATCTATTGATAGAATTCTGTGATTTTTCTTTCTTACCCTGTTGATGTGATAGATTACATTAATTGAATTTTGGATGCTGAACCAGCTTTGCATACTTGCGATAAATCCTATTTGGTCATGGTGTATAATTAATTGTACACATTGTTGAATGTGATTTGCTTATATCTTGTTGATTTTTACATCTATGTTCATGAGAGATATTGGTGTATAGTTTTCCTGCAATGTCTCTGTCTGTTTTCTTTTTAAGAGTAAGTTTGGGTCATAGTATGATTTAGAAAGCATTTTCTCTGCCTCTATCTTCTGAAAGAGATCACAGAGAACTGGTAAAATTTCTTCCTTAAAATGTCAGATAGGATTTACCAGTGAACCCATCTGGGCCCTCTGCTTCCAGTTTTACAAAGGTTATGAATTATTTATGAATTTATTGAATTGCTATAGACCTATTCAGATTGCTTATTTCTTCTCATGTAAATTTTGGCAGATTGTGTCTTTCAAGGAATTGGTCTGTATTATCTATATTATCCAATAGGTAAATTGGTGGATAAGAAGTTGCTCCTAGTATTCCTTTATTATCCTTTCAATGTTCATGTAATCTGTAGTTATGTCCCCTCTTTCATTCCTTATATGAGTAGTTTGTTTCATCTCTCTTTTTCTCTTATTTAGCCTTGCTAGAGACTTACTGGTTTAGTTGATGTTTTTAACAATCAGCTTTTGGTTTTATGTTTTTCTCTGTTGATTTACTGTTTCCAATTCCTTTATTTGTATTCTAATTTTTATAATTTATTTTCTTTTGCTTTCTTTGAAATGAATTTGTTCTTTTTCTGTTTTTCTAAGATAGAAGTTTAGATAATTAATTTTGTAACTTTATTCTTTTTAAATACATGCACTAAATGTTACAAATTTCCCTCTACTCACTGCTTTTGCTGCAGACTACAAATTTTAATTAATATATTTTTATTTTATTGATTATTATTATTATTTAACGACAGGGTCTTGCTCTGTCACCAGGCTGGAAGGCAAGTAATACAATCATAGCTAACTGCAACGTAGAACTCCTGGGCTCAAGTTATCCTCTCACCTCAGACTCCACAGTAGATAGGGATATAGGCATGCACCACCACACTCAGCTAATATTTTTTATTTTTTATTATTTTGTAGAGATAAGGTCTTGCTATATTACCAAGGCTGGTCCCAAATTCTTGGCCTCAAGTGATCCTCCCCCTTTGGTTTCCCAAAGTGTTGGAATTATAGGCGTGAGCCACTGCTGCTGGCCACATATTTTGATGACCTGTAGTTTGATTTTTATTTAGTTCAAATTTTTTAAAAAATCTGATGAGATTTATTTTTTCGACCTGGGTATTATTTAGAAATTTGTTGTTTAACATCTAGGTATTTTGGAATTTTTCAGATATCTTTTTGTTATTGATTTCTAGGTCAAATCCCTTTTAATCTGAGAACAGAAATTGTTCGATTTATATTCTCTTAAATTGTTCAGCTGTGTTTTATTAGCCAAAATGTAATCTATCTTGGTGAATGTTTCCTGTGGGCTTGAGAAGAATACGTATTCTGCTGTTGTTGGATGAAGTAGTCCATAGATATAAATTCTATCCAGTTGATTGATAGTGTTGTTTATTTAAACTATGGCCTTACTGATTTTCTACCTATTAATGTGTCCCTTTTGATAAAGGAGAGTTGAAGTCTCCAACTGTAATAGTGAATTCATTCATTTCTCCTTGCATTTCTATCAGTTTTTGTCTGATGTTGATAAGGTTTGATTCTTTGTCCCCACCCAAATCTCATCTTGTAGTTCCCATAATTCCCACTGTGGGAAGGACTTGGTGGGAGATGATTGAATCATGGGGGTGGGTATTTCCTGTGCTGTTCTAGTGATAGTAAATGGGTCTCACAAGATCTGATGATGCTATAAGGGGGAGTTTTCCTGCTGTCTTCCTAGATGTGACTTGCTCCTCCTTGCCCCTCCTTGCCTTCTGCCATGATTGTGAAGCTTCCCCAGCCACATGGAACTGTAAGTCTGTATTAAACCTCTCTCTTTTGTAAATTGCCCAGTCTCAGGTATATCTTTATCAGCAGTGTGAAAACAGGCTAATACAGTTGTATTTTGACACTATATTGTTAGACACATACACACTGGAAATTATTTTGTCTTCTTGGATAACTGATCATTTTAATCATTATGTAGTGCTCTTCTTTTACCATATAACCTTCCCTGATCTCATGTATGCTTTCTCTGAAATGTATGTAGTTACTACTATTTTATAAAATTAATATAAGTACGGTTTATTTCTTTCCATCTATTTACTTTTAATCTATATGTGTCTTTATTTTTAAGGTGGTTTCTTGTAGGCAACATATAGTTGCATATTGTGTTTTTTTAATCCACTCTGACAGTCTTTTTAAATCAATTTAGTCACTGTAATTTAGACTTTTGATATTTAATGTAATTATTGATAGTGTTAGGTAAATATCTGTCTTGTTACTCTTTTCTATTTGTTGCCCTTGTTTTTTATTTTTTAATCTTCCACTTTTTTCTTCCTTTTTTAGTTTTAATTGAACATTTTATATTATTCAATTTTCTCTGCTTATTTAGCATATCAGTTATAGTTCTTAGTTTACATTTTTAAGTGGTTGCTCTAGAGTTTTCAACATATATTTACAGTGAATCCAAGTCCACTTTTAAATAACATCATACACTTCATGGATACTTTATACAAAAAAAAATTCTAATTCCTCTCTCTCATTGATTGCATCATTGCTTTTATTAATTTCACATATGCATCAGTATACATAAGCATTTATATATATATATATATACTGATGTATATACCTCAGTATACAGAAGTATTTATATATATACTGATGTATACCTCAGTATACATAAACATTTATATATATTTATAGACATAAGCATACATAATTAAATACATCATTCTTATTTTAAAATACTGTTATATGTTTAAAAACTACAATTAGAATAAGGATAATAAAAGTTATTATCTTACTTTAACATGTCTTCTCTAATGTTCTTTCTTTATGTAGTTCATAGTTTCTGACCCATATCTTTTTCCTTTTTTCTAAATGCCTTTAAAAAAAAATTCTTGCAAGGCAGGTCTACTGGCAACAAATTCTCTCAATTTTTGTTTATCTGAGAATATTTTTATTTTTTCTTCACCTTTGAAGAATAATTTTGCAGAGTGTAGAATTCTACGCTGGTTGGGGTTTTTGTTTTTCTCTCAACACTTTATGAGGAGAAGTTAAATGTAATTCTTATTTTTGCTCCTTTATTGGTAAATCATTATCTTTGATATTCTGCAATTTGAATATAATATACTAAGTGTAGATGTTTTATTTTTGGCAGTTATCCTTCCTGGTGCTCTCTGAACTTTCTGAATCTTTAGTTTAGTGTTTGCCATTAATTTGGAGAAATATCAGTCATTTTTGCTTCAAATATTTCTCTTCTATTCTTCTTCCTTTTCTCATTCTGATATTTTCATTACCTGCAGGTTGTATTTTTTGTAGTTGCCCCACAGTTCTTGGGTTTTCTGTTCTGTTTTTTATTTTTCAATCTTTTTTCCTGCCCTTTGTGGTTTTGTGTTTTTTTTCTCTCTCTTTGCATTTAAATTTTGGAAGTTTCTAATGTCATATACTCAAGCTTAGGTATTCCTTCCTCAGACATGTTCAGTCTACTAATATGTCCATCAAAGGCATTCTTCATTTCTGTTACAAAGGCATTCTTCATTTCTGTTACAGTGCTTTTTATTTCCAGATGTTTTTAGTTTTGATTATTTCCTCTTAATTTTTTTAGAATTTCCATTTCTGTGCTTACATTGTCCATCTGTTGTTGTACACTATCTACTTCATCCTTTAGACCCCTTAATATATTTATATATTTTATATCTTTGTATTGGATTTCTTCATCTTTTTTTTTAAATTTTACTTTAAGTTTTGGGATACATGTGCAGAACTTGCAGGTTTGTTACATAGGTATACATACGCCATGGTGGTTTGCTGCACTTATCAACTCGTCATCTAGGTTTTAAGACCCTTTAACATATTAATTGTGGTTGTTTTAAATTCTAGGTTTGATAATTTCAACATCCCTGCTATATCTGAGTCTGATTGTGATATTTGCTGTGCTACTTCAAAATGTGTTTTTTGTTTTTGTTTTTGCTACCATTTATTTCTTGGTAGCAAAAAATAATGGACTGAGTAAAAAAAAAAATCCCCATCTTTACATGGTACAGCTCAGCTAGAGTGGGCTTTATATGGGTATTTCCTTTCCTCCACAAGGAAAGCTAGTGCCAGCTGGTTTGGGGTATTTCCCTTCCCCCAGGTCAGTTAGGCTCTGGTGAAACCCTAGCAGGTTAAGAGTAACCAAAGTTAAACAGCAAAAGTTAACCAAAAGTTAACTTTAACCAAAGTTAAATAGCTTCTTCTGTGGGAAAATCTTGTTAAGAATATAATGTTCTTGCATATTTCAAAATTGTTATTTTTATCCCCCCAGATTAAAACTAAGAGTGAATTTATATATATATATGTGTGTGTGTGTGTGTATATATTCACTGTGAGAACCTGGTTGAACCCCTGGAGCTAAAACTCACAAAAATGTGGATGTTCAGATTACTGGGCCCCATTAGAGTTTTTGGCTCTCAGACTTCTCCATGATAAGCCTCCCCCAATCACTAAATTATAACTCAGATTTTCTTAACCTCAAACTGGTTCCCATGGCTGTTTCTGCTTGTGGGTTTTTGCTCTGTTAAGTTATGATTCTCTTTACCCATCATTTCTTTTTCATATGTAAGATGGGTTGTTGACTTTTCAGTTTCTTCAGGTTTTTACTTGTTATTGTGATTAAGTGGCAACTTCCAAGTTCATTACACACTGACCCAGAAACTGGAAGTCTTCTCTTCAATTTTATAACTTCTCTGCTATTATTACTTGAACTATTTCTTCTGCCATATTATCTCTTTCTTCTTCTGGTTTTCCAACTATGATTACATACAACTTTTGATATTCTTTAACAATCCAACTATTCTTGCATTTTCTATATGTTTGCCTTTATTTAATTATTTTTGTCTTCTCTTTGCTTTTCAGTTTGGAAAGTTTCTATTAATGATCTTCCAGTTCACTGACTGTTTCCTTGGTTGTATCAAATCTACTGATTCTTCATTTGTTTCTGTCTTCTTGATTTCTAGTATTTTCTTTTGACTCTTTCCCACTGTTATCTCTCTGCTGTGTACAAAAAATATTTTAAAATCCTCATCTGATAATGTTAATATCTGTGTCATATCTGAATTTGGTTCAGATTATTTCTTTGTTTCTCCAGACAGTATAACTTTTTTGCTTCAAAGTTGGATGTGTTGTATCCATAACAGGTACTGTGTTAAATAGATCTTTTTTTTTTTCATGGAGTCTTGCTATGTTGCCCAGGCTGGAGTGCAGTGACATGATCTCGGCTCACTGCAACCTCCACCTCTCGGGTTCAAGTGATTCTCCTTCCTCAGCCTCCTGAGTAACTGCGATTACAGGGGCAGCACCATGCCCAGCTAATTCTTGTATTTTTAGTAGAGACAGGAATTCACCATATTGGTCAGGCTGGTCATGAACTCCTGACATCGTGATCCACCTGCCTTGGCCTCCCAAAGTGCTGGGATTACAGGCGTGAGCCACTGCGCCGGCCGTTAACTAGATCATAATGTGAGTATTTATGTTAATCTGCCTAGGAGTTGGGCTCTGTTTAGCTATAAATAGGAGAGGCTTCAAATACCTCTGTTCGTTTTGCCCTTCTTCTTAGTTTCCAGACTTCTCTTTGCACTGATTCTCAAAAAGAGTGTATATCTTGCAGCCCTTTCAATGGCAAACCATTATTGTTATAGTTGAATCTTGTTTGTGTAGTGTTAGGGTGTGGGGTGGGGAAGCACTGTGTAGTCTTCTGATTAAATCTCGGTTTAATAGTTTTCCAATCTAATAGTGGCTTAGGAGTGTGACTTTCTCAAGCAATTCTCCCCCTCTTCCAGTGATACAACTATTATCTCCCCTGCTTCATATTCCGTGTTGTAGCTTTAGGATTCCCAATCTATATTTTTCTGAAGCCCTATTTCCTATTAACTATATATATATACATATATTTTTATATATATATATATATATACACATATATTTATATATATATATATATTTTAATTTTGTGCTTGAGGTAGAAAGTATGCAGAAGATATAGTGTTGTGTAATTTCTTTTCTCCATGTGGGATAAGCTTCTGGATGTTTCCCTTGAAAATAAGACTTTATTATGAAGGCTCCTGAAGAATTTCATAATGGTTTCTCTTCTTCTTCTGACAAGGTCATAAGGATATTTTCTCAGAGCATCCTTCTGAAAGGCCAGTGGGTTCCTGGAATGAAAGCCCACAGAAATTTGAGGACTCATTTATATTGTTGTCCCTAAGAGCTTCTCACCAATTCTAATTCACCTTCAAGTCTCAGCAATTTCTCAGATTTTCCATTGAAGTCAGTAGATTTATTTCTGTGGCTTTCCTGCTTCTGCTCAAGACAAATAATTCTCAAGTTCTCTGGTTAGCTGTTTCTGTCTCTCCAAATATTGGTAAGCTGTTTGCTTTATGACCTCACTTCTCTCATGGGCCCATTAAGTTGTTTATTTTCAGTGTTTCCAGCTTTTATTATTGTAAAGAGAGTACCATCTTCTGAGATTTATACACATTGAATGTGAAACAAGAAGTCTAGCTGCCTTTTTTATTTTTTATTTTTTGAGACGGAGTCTTGCTCTGTTGCCCAGGCTGGAGTGCAGTGGCGCAATCTCAGCTCACTGTAGCCTCCAGCTATCTTGTTCAAACAATTCTCCTTTCTCCCTCAGCCTCCCGAGTAGCTTGGACTACAGACGCACACTGCCACACCCAGCTAATTTTTGTATTTTAAGTAGAGACAGGGATTCACCATGTTGGCCAGGATGGTCTTGATCTCCTAGCCTCGTGATCCACCTGCCTTGGCCCCCGAAAGTGCTGGGATGACAGGCGTGAGCCACCATGCCCAGCCTTGCTTTTCTTTTTTAATTAAATAAAAATTACCCTTAAAATTATTTAAAGGATCCAATTTATTAACTACAAACAGCATTATATTTCATGAAAAAAAATGGACTATAATGGTGTTGTTATATAATTAAACTTGAAGGAGTATACATTTCTAAATATTTTATTCACATTGGGAAGCAGAATGATCAAAATGATTTGAAAATACTTATATTTCAATTTGTATTTAATTCACAAATAATCTTAATCATACTCACCTCCCTCAGCAAATACAATAATAAACTCTAAGGTTTATTTATTTTCATTTTTCTTAAGTAGACATATTTCCACTATTTTATTTGGAAGTTAATTAATAGCCTAAGGTTTTTCTAAAATCCTACCACACCTACCCTTGTTTTTGCTCTAATTCTACCCTAAAGAATACTATGATTCCTACTCTTTTGCATTTAGGTATCATTAGTGAAAATTTTCTTTCTTTTTCTATTATCTCCTACTCATCCATATATAAAATATCCTGTAAGGATGGCAACTAATAAGTGTTTTATTCTTCACCCCTTTCTCTCCAGGCCTCTTGGATTCCTTGGGATTCTCTGTCTTATTAAGTTTTGGCACCTAAACTAAAATCTTACTCCAAACCTCAGTTGACTTCTTAAGTATGTATTTTTTTATGCCATCAATCATACAGCACTTCAGTATTAGGTATCTGCCATTTAATGAGGTCTTAGTTATTTTAGTTGAATTAATACACATATAAATTATCACACCCTCTCTAGACATCGTTTGTGCTATGTAATCTTCGTACACAGCCATTTGTTAACTTGAGATTTGATTCTTCCTTTCTACCTTCACCCAGTCTTCTGTACCCTTCTTAAATTCTACCTTGCAGTCAGAACTAAATAAGTAATTCATGCAACCTAGGAATATTTTAGAACATTATACTGTGTGAATAAAGCAATCTACACAGGTTGCCAAAGACATACCCAGAATCTTTTCTTTCCTGGAGGCAATTAGATATGAATATATTTATCTAAGTCTACGAGAATATTTTTATTCCTTTTTGCACATAATATCCTAAGTTAATGACTTTTCTTCTCTATGTTCTGTGAAAAGAAATAAAATAACAGCAATTGGTTAGGTTTGCCTTATGAATGTAATAAATGTTGATTTGCTGTTAATGTGGAAATGCTGTTGTAAGTAATTTTTAAAAGTTCATTAGACATTTTATAATGGAATGTAGTGATTTTGCATAAAAATGTAAAACACAACTAATTTCAATAATATTTAAACTAATTGCAAAATGAGTTTAGAATGCAAAATGTTATAATTATACAGTAGATCTGTTTTATCTTTAAATCTGAAATCCATTTAATATTATTTTTCAACATTTGAAGGACAAGAAAATAGCACTGAAGGAAATGAATAAAATGGTAGAAAGGGAAAAGAACAAAAAAGGAGGAAAGAACAAAATTAAAGTAAGAGAGACTACCATAGAAAAAACTAAGTCAGATTGGTTTTTATATTCATCATCAATATAAAAATATGTTTAAAAACCCCTTGAAGAAACATATATCTTTTCATAATTCACTAATTTATTTTCAATAGCACTTAGCTCATCTAAACATATTTACTTACCAAAGTTGCTCACCAGTATCCTAAGACTATTGATATGGTTTTTATTTCTGTCCCCAACCAAATCTCATGTTGAATTGTAATCCCCAATGTTGGAGGTGGGGCCTGGTGGGAATTGACTGGATCATGGGGGTGGATTTCCCCACTCTGGTGATAGTGAGTTCTCATGAGATCTGGTCATTTAAAATTGTGTGGCACCTCCAGACCCTCTCCCTTTGGTCCTGTTCCTGCTGTATAAGATACCTGCTTCTGACTGGGCTCAGTGGCTCACGCCTGTAATCCCAGCACTTTGGGAGGCCGAGGCGGGTGGATCACAAGGTCAGGAGATCGAGCCCATCCTGGCTAACATGGTGAAATTCCGTCTCTACCAAAAATACAAAAAATTAGCCAGGAGTGGTGGTGGGCGCCTGTAGTCCCAGCTACTCGGGAGGCTGAGGCAGGAGAATGGCGTGAACCTGGGAGGCGGATCTTGCAGTGAGCCAAGATTGCGCCATTACACTCCAGCCTGGGTGACACAGCAAGACTCTGTCTCAAAAACAACAACAACAACAAACAAACAAACAAACAAAAAAGATACCTGCTTCCACTTTGCCTTCTGCCATGAATAAAAACTCCTTGAGGCCTCCCCAAAAGCAGTTGCCACCGTGCTTCCTGTACCCCCTGTGTAACTGTGAGCCAGTTAAACCTCTTTTCTTTATAAATTACCCAGTGTCAGGTATTTCTTAATTGCAGTGCGAGAATGATCTAATACAATTATTATATGGAACAGTTGCTTATCAGTGGTACCCAATGCTGTCATTTGAAATCCCTTGATCATAGCAACTTTATAAATACAGTGTAGTACCATTTGATGATGCACAAGAGGGAGCATTAAGATTAGTAGAAATAACTCAAATAAATGAGATATTATTCAAGTTTCAGGAGAATATATATGTTTATATGAACACAAATTATATGGTTGTTTCAAGGTCCAAAGTGAAAAGGAAAAATTTTATCATAGAAAAGCTATTTCAACTAAGAAGATGCTAATACATTCTTAGACAATTTTTGAACCAAAGTCTAAATCTCTTAGCTCTTGGAGAGATGATAGAGAAGTTTTCCTGAACAGAAACATGGTTGTCAAAACCGAGAAATCTGTAGAACTATTCTTTTTCCTTTCCACCCCCACTTCATAGAGGACTACCAGCCTTTGTGATATACTTGCCCTGACTTGAGTATTATTCTATTTCTTTCTTTTCTTAGAATTTCATTATTCATGTCATGGTTACTTGCCTGAAATATCTGATGGATGCCACAGGAACGCTAATATTATATTTAAATATAGCTACAAAAGCATTGGAAATTCGCCAACTCAATGAGCTAGTAATAAAATCAAAATTCTTGCAGAATGTCATTTCAGAAATAGGATAAATAGTGATGTCATTTAATAACTTCTAGAAAAGTTTTTGGGATGTAAGTCAGAAAGTTAAGAGATAACTTAAAAAAAGGATTGCTAATTAACTACCAAGAGAAACACCAACAGGTGGAGAGGATAGAGTCATTACAGAAAAGGCAATATTTAACAAAATAAAGAAAAAATTAAATGATGAAATATGTTTTGTTTGACTAAGAAGAAGACAATATTATTGAAAACATAGGAGGAATTTTATGTTTGGTTAAAAAGAAAGATTTTTAATCACCAGAAACTGGAGTGAAGAGAGAACTATTAAAGATTCTGTAAATGTTCAATAAAAGGGGGAAAATTTCTGCTTCTAATAATGAAATAACAAGAAGATATGAACATTTCTCTTTTAAAACATGTAAAAAAGAAAAAAATAACATATAAAACAAAGACTTTTTAGTATTTTTTTTAATTTTCATTTTAGGTTCACGGTACATGTGTAGGTTTGTTATATAGGTAAACTTGTGTCATGGGGGTTTTTATATAGATTAATTTGTCACTCAGGTACCAAGCCTAATATCCAACATATTTTTCTGATCCTCTTGCTCCTCTTACCTTACGCCCTCAGTTAGGTAACAACAACAACCCAGTGTCTGTTGTTCCCTTTTTTGTATCCATGTGTTCTCATCATTTAGCTCCCTCTTATAAGTGAGAAGATGCGGTATTTGGTATCCTGTTCCTGTGTTAGTTTGCTAAAGATAATGACCTCTATCTCCATCTATGTGCCTGCAAAGGACATAGTCTCATTGTTTTTATGGGTACACAGTACTCCATGGTGTATATGTACCACATTTTCTTTATCCATTGTTCCATTGATGGGTATTTAAGTGATCCTATGTCTATGCTATTGTTAATAGTGCTGCAAGAAACATATGTGTGCATGTGTACTTACGATAGAATGATTCATAGTCCTTTGGGTATATACCCAGTAATGGGGTGGCTGGGTCAACTGGCAGTTCTGTTATAAGCTCTTTGAAGAATCACCACACAGCTATCCACAATGGTTAAGCTAATTTACACTCCCAACAACAGTTTGTAAGTGTTCTCTTTTTTCTGCAACCTTGCCAACATCTGTTTGTTTTTTGGGTTTTTAATAATAGTCATTCTGACTGGTATGAGTTGATATCTCATTATGGTTTTGATTTACATTTCTCTAATGTTCAGTTATATTGAGCATTTTTTCATATGCTTATTACTCACACATATTTCTTCTTTTGAAAACTATCTGTTCATGTCCTTTGTCCACTTTTTAATGGGATTGTTAGTTGACTTGTTTATAGTTTTTTTTTATTATACTTCAAGTTTTAGGGTATATGTGCACATTGTGCAGGTTAGTTACATACGTATACATGTGCCATGCTGGTGCACTGCACCCACTAACTGGTCATCTAGCATTAGGTATATCTCCCGATGCTGTACCTCCCCCTCCCCCCCACCCCACAACAGTCCCCAGAGTGTGATATTCCCCGTCCTGTGTCCATGTGATCTTATTGTTCAATTCCCACCTATGAGTGAGAATATGCAGTGTTTGGTTTTTTGTTCTTGCGATAGTTTACTGAGAATGATGATTTCCAATTTCATCCATGTCCCTACAAAGGACATGAACTCATCGTTTTTTGTGGCTGCATAGTATTCCATGGTGTATATGTCCACATTTTCTTAATCCAGTCTATCATTGTTGGACATTTGGGTTGGTTCCAAGTCTTTGCTATTGTGAATAATGCCGCAATAAACATACGTGTGCATGTGTCTTTATAGCAGCATGATTTATAGTCCTTTGGGTATATACCCAGTAATGGGATGGCTGGGCCAAATGGTATTTCTAGTTCTAGATCCCTGAGGAATCACCACACTGACTTCCACAATGGTTTAACGAGTTTACAGTCCCACCAACAGTGGAAAAGTGTTCCTATTTCTCCACATCCTCTCCAGCACCTGTTGTTTCCTGACTTTTTAATGATTGCCATTCTAACTGGTGTGAGATGGTATGTCATTGTGGTTTTGATTTGCATTTCTCTGATGGCCAGTGATGGTGAGCATTTTTTCATGTGTGTTTTGGCTGCATAAATGTGTTCTTTTGAGAAGTGTCTGTTCATGTCCTTCACCCACTTTTTGATGGGGTTGTTTGTTTTTTTCTTGTAAATTTGTTTGAGTTCATTGTAGATTCTGGATATTAGCCCTTTGTCAGATGAGTAGGTTGCGAAAATTTTCTCCCATTTTGTAGGTTGCCTGTTCACTCTGATGGTAGTTTCTTCTTCTGTGCAGGAGCTCTTTAGTTTAATTAGATCCCATTTGTCAATTTTGGCTTTTGTTGCCATTGCTTTTGGTGTTTTAGACATGAAGTCCTTGCCCATGCCTATGTCCTGAATGGTAATGCCTAGGTTTTCTTCTAGGGTTTTTATGGTTTTAGGTCGAACGTTTAAGTCTTTAATCCATCTTGAATTGATTTTTGTGTAAGGTTTAAGGAAGGGATCCAGTTTCAGCTTTCTACATATGGCTAGCCAGTTTTCCCAACACCATTTATTAAATAGGGAATCCTTTCCCCATTGCTTGTTTTTCTCAGGTTTGTCAAAGATCAGATAGTTGTAGATATGCGACGTTATTTCTGAGGGCTCTGTTCTGTTCCATTGATCTATATCTCTGTTTTGGTACCAGTACCATGCTGTTTTGGTTACTGTAGCCTTGTAGTATAGTTTGAAGTCAGGTAGTGTGATGCCTCCAGCTTTGTTCTTTTGGCTTAGGATTGACTCGGCAATGCAGGCTCTTTTTTGGTTCCATATGAACTTTAAAGTAGTTTTTTCCAATTCTGTGAAGAAAGTCATTGGTAGCTTGATGGGGATGGCATTGAATCTGTAAATTGCCTTGGGCAGTATGGCCATTTTCACGATATTGATTCTTCCTACCCATGAGCATGGAATGTTCTTCCATTTGTTTATATCCTCTTTTATTTCCTTGAGCAGTGGTTTGTAGTTCTCCTTGAAGAGGTCCTTCATATCCCTTGTAAGTTGGATTCCTAGGTATTTTATTCTCTTTGAAGCAATTGTGAATGGGAGTTCACTCATGATTTGGCTCTCTGTTTGTCTGTTGTTGGTGTATAAGAATGCTTGTGATTTTTGTACATTGATTTTGTATCCTGAGACTTTGCTGAAGTTGCTTATCAGCTTAAGGAGATTTTGGGCTGAGACAATGGGGTTTTCTAGATATACAATCATGTCGTCTGCAAACAGGGACAATTTGACTTCCTCTTTTCCTAATTGAATACCCTTTATTTCCTTCTCCTGCCTAATTGCCCTGGCCAGAACTTCCAACACTATGTTGAACAGGAGTGGTGAGAGAGGGCATCCCTGTCTTGTGGCACTTTTCAAAGGGAATGCTTCCAGTTTTTGCCCATTCAGTATGATATTGGCTGTGGGTTTGTCATAGATAGCTCTTATTATTTTGAAATACGTCCCATCAGTACCTAATTTACTGAGAGTTTTTAGCATAAAGCGTTGTTGAATTTTGTCAAAGGCCTTTTCTGCATCTATTGAGATAATCATGTGGTTTTTGTCTTTGGCTCTGTTTATATGCTGGATTACATTTATTGATTTGCGTATATTGAACCAGCCTTGCATCCCAGGGATGAAGCCCACTTGATCATGGTGGATAAGCTTTTTGATGTGCTGCTGGATTCGGTTTGCCAGTATTTTATTGAGGATTTTTGCATCAATGTTCATGAAGGATATTGGTCTAAAATTCTCTTTTTTTGTTGTGTCTCTGCCTGGCTTTGGTATCAGAATGATGCTGGCCTCATAAAATGAGTTAGGGAGGATTCCCTCTTTTTCTATTGATTGGAATAGTTTCAGAAGGAATGGTACCAGTTCCTCCTTGTACCTCTGGTAGAATTCGGCTGTGAATCCATCTGGTCCTGGACTCTTTTTGGTTGGTAAGCTATTGATTATTGCCACAATTTCAGGTCCTGTTATTGGTCTATTCAGAGATTCAACTTCTTCCTGGTTTAGTCTTGGGAGAGTGTATGTGTCGAGGAATTTATCCATTTCTTCTAGATTTTCTAGTTTATTTGCGTAGAGGTGTTTGTAGTATTCTCTGATGGTAGCTTGTATTTCTGTGGGATCGGTGGTGATATCCCCTTTATCATTTTTTATTGCATCTATTTGATTCTTCTCTCTTTTTTTCTTTATTAGTCTTGCTAGTGGTCTATCAATTTTGTTGATCCTTTCAAAAAACCAGCTCCTGGATTCATTAATTTTTTGAAGGGCTTTTTGTGTCTCTATTTCCTTCAGTTCTGCTCTGATTTTAGTTATTTCTTGCCTTCTGCTAGCTTTTGAATGTGTTTGCTCTTGCTTTTCTAGTTGTTTTAATTGTGATGTTAGGGTGTCAATTTTGGATCTTTCCTGCTTTCTCTTGTGGCCATTTAGTGCTATAAATTTCCCTCTACACACTGCTTTGAATGTGTCCCAGAGATTCTGGTATGTTGGGTCTTTGTTCTCGTTGGTTTCAAAGAACATCTTTATTTCTGCCTTCATTTCGTTATGTACCCAGTAGTCATTCAGGAGCAGGTTGTTCAGTTTCCATGTAGTTGAGCGGTTTTGAGTGAGGTTCTTAATCCTGAGTTCTAGTTTGATTGCACTGTGGTCGGAGAGATAGTTTGTTATAATTTCTGTTCTTTTACATTTGCTGAGGAGAGCTTTATTTCCAACTATGTGGTCAGTTTTGGAATAGGTGTGGTGTGGTGCTGAAAAGAATGTATATTCTGTTGATTTGGGGTGGAGAGTTCTGTAGATGTCTATTAGGTCCGCTTGGTGCAGAGCTGAGTTCAATTCCTGGGTATCCTTGTTGACTTTCTGTCTCGTTGATCTGTCTAATGTTGACAGTGGGGTGTTAAAGTCTCCCATTATTAATGTGTGGGAGTCTAAGTCTCTTTGTAGGTCTCTAAGGACTTGCTTTATGAATCTTGGTGCTCCTGTATTGGGTGCATATATATTTAGGATAGTTAGCTCTTCTTGTTGAATTGATCCCTTTACCATTATGTAATGGCCTTCTTTGTCTCTTTTGATCTTTGTTGGTTTAAAGTCTGTTTTATCAGAGACTAGGATTGCAACCCCTGCCTTTTTTTGTTGTCCATTTGCTTGGTAGATCTTCCTCCATCCTTTTATTTTGAGCCTATGTGTGTCTTTGCCCGTGAGATGGTTTTCCTGAATACAGCACACTGATGGGTCTTGACTCTTTATCCAATTTTCCAGTCTGTGTCTTTTAATTGGAGCATTTAGTCCATTTGCATTTAAAGTTAATATTCTTATGTGTGAATTTGATCCTGTCATGATGATGTTATCTGGTTATTTTGCTCGTTAGTTGATGCAGTTTCTTCCTAGTCTCGATGGTCTTTACATTTTGGCATGATTTTGCAGCGGCTGGTCCCGGTTGTTCCTTTCCATGTTTAGCGCTTCCTTCAGGAGCTCTTGTAAGGCAGGCCTGGTGGTGACAAAATCTCTCAGCATTTGCTTGTCTGTAAAGGATTTTATTTCTCCTTCACTTATGAAGCTTAGTTTGGGTGGAAATGAAATTCTGGGTTGAAAATTCTTTTCTTTAAGAATGTTGAATATTGGCCCCCACTCTCTTCTGGCTTGTAGGGTTTCTGCCGAGAGATCTGCTGTTAGTCTGATGGGCTTCCCTTTGTGGGTAACCCGACCTTTCTCTCTGGCTGCCCTTAACATTTTTTCCTTCATTTCAACTTTGGTGAATCTGACAATTATGTGTCTTGGAGTTGCTATTCTCGAGGAGTATCTTTGTGGCATTCTCTGTATTTCCTGAATCTGAACATTGGCCTGCCTTGCTAGATTGGGGAAGTTCTCCTGGATAATATCCTGCAGAGTGTTTTCCAACTTGGTTCCATTCTCCCCATCACTTTCAGGTACACCAATCAGACGTAGATTAGGTGTTTTCACATAGTCCCATATTTCTTGGAGGCTTTGCTCATTTCTTTTTATTCTTTTTTCTCTAAACTTCCCTTCTCGCTTCATTTCATTCATTTCATCTTCCATTGCTGATACTCTTTCTTCCAGTTGATCACATCGGCTCCTGAGGCTTCTGCATTCTTCACGTAGTTTTCGAGCCTTGGTTTTCAGCTCCATCAGCTCCTTTAAGCACTTCTCTGTATTGGTTATTCTAGTTATACATTCTTCTAAATTTTTTTCAAAGTTTTCAACTTCTTTGCCTTTGGTTTGAATGTCCCCCCGTAGCTCAGAGTAATTTGATCATCTGAAGCCTTCTTCTCTCAGCTCATCAAAGTCATTCTCCATCCAGCTTTGTTCGGTTCCTGGTGAGGAACTGCGTTCCTTTGGAGGAGGAGAGGTGCTCTGCTTTTTAGAGTTTCCAGTTTTTCTGTTCTGTTTTTTCCCCATCTTTGTGGTTTTATCTACTTTTGGTCTTTGATGATGGTGATGTACAGATGGGTTTTTGGTGTGGGTGTCCTTTCTGTTTGTTAGTTTTACTTCTAACAGAGAGGACCCTCAGCTGCAGGTCTGTTGGAATACCCTGCCTTGTGAGGTGTCAGTGTGCCCCTGCTGGGGGGTGCCTCCCAGTTAGGCTGCTCGGGGGTGAGGGGTCAGGGACCCACTTGAGGAGGCAGTCTGCCTGTTCTCAGATCTCCAGCTGCGTGCTGGGGGAACCACTGCTCTCTTCAAAGCTGTCAGACAGGGACATTTAAGTCTGCAGAGGTTACTGCTGTCTTTTTTTTAGTCTGTGCCCTGCCCCCAGAGGTGGAGCCTACAGAGGCAGGCAGGCCTCCTTGAGCTGTGGTGGGCTCCACCCAGTTCGAGCTTCCCGGCTGCTTTGTTTACCTAAGCAAGCCTGGCCAATGGTGGGCGCCCCTCCCCCAGCCTCGCTGCCGCCTTGCAGTTTGATCTCAGACTGCTGTGCTAGCAATCAGCGAGACTCCGTGGGTGTAGGACCCTCCAAGCCAGGTGCGGGACACAATCTCCTGGTGTGCCGTTTTTTAAGCCCATCGGAAAAGCGCAGTATTCGGGTGGGAGTGACCCGATTTTCCAGGTGCCGTCCTTCACCCCTTTCTTTGACTAGGAAAGGGAACTCCCTGACCCCTTGTGCTTCCCAAGTGAGGCAATGCCTCGCCCTGCTTCGGCTCGCACACGGTGCATGCACCCACTGACCTGCGCCCACTGTCTGGCACTCCGTAGTGAGATGAACCCGGTACCTCAGATGGAAATGCAGAAATCACCCGTCTTCTGCGTCGCTCACGCTGGGAGCTGTACACTGGAGCTGTTCCTATTCGGCCATCTTGGCTCCTCCTTGTTTATAGTTTTTTTTAATGTTCCTTATAGATGCTGGATACTAGACCTCTGACAGATGCATAGTTTGCAAAAATGTTCTCCCATTCTATAGATTGTCTGTTCATTCTTTTGATAGTTTTTTTTTTTTTTTTTTTTTTTTTGCTATGCAGAAGCTCCTTAGTTTAATTAGATCTCATTTACCAATTTTTGCTTTTGTTGTAATTGCCTTTGACATCTTCATCATGAAATCTTTGACAGGGCCTATGTCTAGAATCATATTGCCTAGATTGTCTTTCAGAGTTTTTATAGTTTTGGATTTTACATTTAAGTCTTTAATCCAAAAATCTTGAGTTAACTTTCGTATATAGAATAAAAAGGGGGTCTAGTTTCAGTCCTCTGCAAATGACTAGCCAGTTATCCAAGCACCATTTATTGAAGAGGGTAATTCCTTTCCCCAGTGCTTTTGCAGCTTTGTCAAAGATCAGATGGTTACAGGTGTGTAGCCTTATTTGTGGGCTCTCTATTCTGTTCCGTTGATCTGTGTGTCAGTTTTTGAACCAGTACTATGCTCTTTTGGTTACTGTATCCCTGTAGTATAGTTTGAAGTTGGGTAGCATAATGCTTCCTGCTTTGTTCTTTTTGCTCAAAATAATGGGTCATATATGACAAACCTATAACAAATATCATAATGAGTGGGCAATAACTGGAAGCATTCCCTTTGAAAACTGGCATAAGACAAGGATATGTTCTCTCACCACTTCTTTTCAACATAGTATTGGATGCCTTGCCAGAGCAATCTGACGAGAAGGAAATAAAGCGCATGCAAATAGAAAGAGAGGAAATCAAACTTTCACTTTTTGCAAGTAACTTGATTCTGTATCTAGAAAACCCCATAGTTGCAGCCTAAAAAGCTCCTTAAGCTGGTAAACAACTGCCTCAAAGTTTCAGGATACAAAAGCAACCCACAGGAATCTCTAGCATTCCTAAACAACAACAGACAAGTCAAGAGCCAAATTAGGAATGCAACCTCATTCACAATTGCCACAAGAAAAAATGAAATACCAACGAATATAGCTAACCAGGGAGGTGAAACAACTCTACAATGAAAACTACAAAAACACTAAGAAATCAGAGATAGCACAAATAAATGGAAATATATTCCATGCTCATGGATAGGAAGAAGCAATATTGTTAAAATGGCCATTCTGCCTAAAGCAGTTTACAGATTCAATGCTATTCCTATCAAACTGTCAATGACATTCTTCACAAAACTAGAAAAAAACTATTTTAAAATTCACATGGAACCAAACAAGAGCCCAAATAGCCAAGAAAATCCTAAGCAAAAGAACCAAGGCTTTCAATAAATTTGAAATTATACAATGAAAGAATAGAGTCCCTGAAAGATGGAAAATAAACTAAGCAAGCTCTACAATTGCTCGACTTACTGCTATAAGACTTTCTAGGCCTTAACGCAAAGAGCAATAACTTCAGCAGAAAGGGTGAACTCCCTGAGTTGAGGAAATACAGCTAAGAGTCTAGAGGGACAATGGTAGGTAGGGTTTGCAGGGCAGAGTAGCGGAGAAAAGAAAAATTCTGATATCTATAGAAGGTCCTTCCAGAACAACTAGCAGATAACTGACCAGTATGTGTGTGTGAGAAAATTACCCAAGGCTGGGAAAAGAACCACCTAAAAATACAAGAGGAACATTTCAGTTTTCACAGGCATAGCTTGTAGCACAAAGCCTGGACTATTGCCTGTTTCCACCAGTGAAAGTAGAAGATCTCACACATTACAAACCATTATGCAGAGAACCCCGAAAGGCCTTGCTTTAATGGTTGAAATAATTAG
Source organism: Homo sapiens (assembly GCF_000001405.40). NCBI lineage: Eukaryota > Metazoa > Chordata > Mammalia > Primates > Hominidae > Homo > Homo sapiens. Next base: position 86,338,378 of record NC_000007.14, on the reverse strand, counting down.
CTTTAAACATTATTCTAGTAATGACTAACAGATCCTAAAAATCATACTAAAAAAAAAAAAACATTGTTTTTAAGTAACTTAAATATGTCATAGCACAAATCTTAAGAATATTTTATATGGATAGAAAATTATCTAGCACCTGACAAAGTAAAGTTTAGAATAGCTTTCATTTAATGAAATATAACTAGGCATACACAGAAGCAAAAAAAAAAATACACCCAGAATGAAGAAAAAAATCAATCACACCTGTCCTAGGAGTGGTGCAGATGATAAAATTAACGGATAAGGGAATCAGAAACAGTTTTTATAACTGTAGTTCATATATTCTGAAAGCTAAAGGAAAGGTTGAACTTTTTAAGGAGAGACACGTAAGATATGAAAAAGAACCAAGTTGAACTTTCTGAAGTAAAAATAATGTCTGGCATAAAATTAATGACAAATTGCCAATTAGACACCCCAGAAAAAATGATTCATGAAATTGAATATGTAACAATAGGAACTGTTGAAAATAAAACATTGAGAGCAAAGAGAGTGAGAAAAGAGAGAGAGAAAGAGAACAGATCAGTTAGCTGTGATACAAATTCAAGAAGTCTATTTTTATGTATAATTGGAGTCCCTGAAAGAGGGAGTGGCAGAAAATTATTTGGAGAAATAATTATACAACAATTTTACAATTTGATAAACACTGTAAACCCAAAGTTTCAAGGGCAGAGTAGTGCCCTTGAAGCATTCAAGATACAGCAAGACCTAAAAATATGGGAAAAAAGAAACTCTGCCAAGAAACATAATTACATGAATAAATATCAGTTATAAAGATAAAATCTTAAAGGTGTGCTTGGAAAAAAAAAAGATAGATTATCTATAGAGAAACAAAAATATATGACAGAAAACTTTTCATCAGATTCAAAGCAAGATCAGAGATAACTGAGAAAAACTTTAGAGTACTGGAGAACAAAGAATTCTAATACTAGAATTCTACACCCAAAGAAAAGGTCTTACAAAGTGAAAGATGAAATAGATACTTTTTTCAGATATATAAAACTCAAGAATATAATTACTGGAACACCTATGATGAAAAACAGTTGAAGAAATTTCCTCAGACAGAAGAAAAATATTACCCAATGTAAATATGGGCCAACACAAAGAAATGAAGAGTACAAGACATGCTAAGTACATTAGCAAATATATAACATTTTTTCATATCATTTAAAACTTAAATATTCCCAAATAATTAAACAAACAGAAAAGGACACAATGTGATATTTATAACATATATAGAAAATAAATTTGAAAACTATATACGAATTGAAAAAGGAGTTAGAGAAGTGTTGGGGTCTTCAGAAAGTTTATAGAAAATATATATTATTAAAAAAACTATGCATAGATAAATTGTTTTGTACCAAATTAAACTCATACTAATTTGTATAACATGTCTGAATAGAATCTAGTTTGGCACACTAAAGACATCTGTTTGAAAACAGCCCCTATCAAAGCAACATGGATTTTGCTAAAATTGAAGCCAAAACAAACATAAAATTTATGTTGAAGTTTGGATGGAAGAATGATAAAATTACTTATGCTTTCCAAAAAGTGTATGGGGAAAATTTCCTCAAAGAAATCAGCACTTTACAGATGGATAACTTGTTTTAAGAAGGAATGACACAATGTTGAAGATGAACCACAGAGGGACGGACCGTCTACATTGATTTGTGAGGAAAAAATTAATCTTGTTCATGCTCTAATTGAAGAGGACCGACAACAGCACAAACAATAGCCAACATCATTGACATCTCAATTGTTTCAGCTTACACAATTATGACTAAAAAATTAAAGTTGAGCAAACTTTCCAATTGATGGATGCCAAAACCATTGTGCCCAGATCGGCTGCAGACAAGAGAGGGGATTTCAATGGAAATATTAAACAAGTAGGATCAAGATCCTGAAATATGAATAACTAATGTCTGCCTTAGAAACCATGCATTTCTTTAATTTCTTAAAAATTTTGGAGATTTTATTTTTTATGAAAAGTGACTTTGACACTTTATGACATTAAATAATTAAATTAATATCACTTTTCTCATTTTTTTGCCTTTAGTTATGTCAAAGTGGTATAAAAATAACCCAGTCATTTTCAGAAGATTAAATATTATTATTTAAATATGTAAGTTATAAATTCCTCTCGTGTGTCAAATAATTTTATAAGAAAAAATTCAGCCAGCAAAGTAATGTCATTACTAATTTAGCTTATTGTGTATTCTCTCTAATGATACTAAGTTGAGCACAGTAACAGTGCAATTATATTTCTAAGCAGAAGTAGAGTGTACTCATTATTTTGTTCTGAAAATTACACTCGGATTAATCATTTGATAAGCCCATAATTGTATGGTCTATGTAATATTAGATGTGCTGAATAACATAATTGAAATGAATTTGTAGTGATAACACTTAGGAAACCCATTGTTTATATACACAAGTCATTAAAAATACTACTGGTAAATTTTAGGCAAGAATTGTTTGGGAAATTTTAATGTTTATTAGAATAGTATTTTCAATATAAATTTGAAAAATGAGAAATATTTAAGTGGCTAGCACTCTGGAGGAGAAGCAAAGATAATTGGGATTTATTTTTAGATCTGTGATTCACTTATGGTATTTCACAACTAATCATGTCAAGAAAATTACACTCAATTGCCATTTCATTTTACAAGGATATTAGATGCATAATGTCATAATAGTTATGATGATGGTTGATATTTTATAATGAAGATCCTTTTTAAAGATGTTTTAGTCTTTTCATTGTATTTTTTTCTTATTTATAAAATGATATAATAAGTCTGTCTTACAAATAGTTTTTTAAATCATCAACTTTTTTGTTTATAGACATTCTTGGGCATTGACTGCAGCCTATTTTGAATATCTTTTATTGGTTACAAACATTTGATCGTCTTTATAATTTTTTATCAAGAGATACTTCCTTTAAGAAAATGTACACATCTTTGTTTCTATGTTATGTAAATGTTATTTTTCTGTTAATTTTTTAAGTGCTCTAGTAATATATTCAAGGGTCATGTAGGCATTAGTGATTTAAAAAGAAAAATGTTTCTAATTAATCAAATTTTCCCATCATATTATGGTAGCTTTAAATGCTGTGTTTAGTTTTCTGATTAGAAAAGTAACACTAGCCATTTTACAGAATAATTTAGCAAACAAGGAATGATATAGAGAACACGATATTATCTTTGATACTTCTTTGGGTTATCATTCTTAACAGATTAATATATTTTTCATTCTCCCTCTGCCTAGTATATAATAACTACACTTTGCTCAGTATGCATCATTTTCCTGAAACTTACTACAAGTGCTTTAATGGTCCCTAAATATCTTGGTATTAATTTACTTATTCATTAGTTATTTCATCAAACATTTTTGAGTGCCTAAAATATACCAAGAAATGTGCTTATGCTTTTTTTTTTTGAAGAAAGTAAGCCATACCCTAATGCTCATAGTTTATATTTCAGTAGAAGGAGATGATAATTAAGAGAAAGAAATCAAATGAATCATTTCAAAGTAGTGATAACATTAATAAAAATAAGGAAATAGAAAATATAATAGTGACTGGAGTGCCAAGGCTCTAGGTATTAATAAGTTTGGCATGTTCAAAGAACATAAACAATGTCAATGTGGCTGGGGCTTTGTTATCAGGTTTGGAGTGACACATTTAGTTGGGGCATTAGTTTGAGTTTGTCAAGCTTTTACATTTAAAGCTGAGACTCTCAAATGGAAATGGTACTTAAGCTGATCTTTACTGAATATATAAATATAAATTCAGACAGATAGTATTAACTTAGCCAATCCATTATTACTGGACATGTATTTTATTAACAATTTTAATCTAAATATTGTTGTAGGAAATTCTAATACTTAAATCATTATATGAGTTTCTACTTACTTAAGCTAAAGTTCTATTGTAAGAATAACTCAAAGTTTATAAAGTTTTTGAGCACTCTTGATATATTTTAAAATTATTCCTTAATGTTTGTGTTCACTTACGCTTGTAAGAATAAACATGAAGAGAGCTCAACTCACTGCACCTGGAAGCATTTTATTATTCGTAATACGCTACCTTGTTAAGCAGTAAAATGAAATTAAACCAGAATTTACTATTTCATAGTCATTAAATCCACAACAATTTGAATGCATCACAAGTGATATAGACAAAAACATCATACTTCCAAGCGAAGCATAACATGATTATTAAATATTTCCTGAATTAATTGAAAACTTCAAGAAAAAAAAAACAAGGAAGGGGAAAGAAGAAAATATTTTGGCCTCAAACAGCACTACTTTTGTTCTGCAGTCTGATTCTTGAATCATGAGTAAGAAATTTGGAAACCCTCGTAGAAAATAACAATTTTAACTGCACAGGCTTATGATATCCTTCCCTTATATCAAGAATTAAGGAACAGACCAGTTTCTCTGTATCCACATTACAATTAATACTATACAAATTATTTAAATGAATGTTGGATTTTATAATATAGTAAGGTATTAAGCATTACTCATAAATTTGAAAACAATCACCTTCTCTGATTTCGAGATACCTTTTTGACTTTGACTCAGAAAGCACAAAGGATTTTTGCTTTGAACAAGTCGTATGTGTCAATCAGAAGTATGCCTTGAGCAAATGGAAAGTGCATAGAAAACTTTTGGTTGTTTTGTATAAATATATCAGGGCCTTATAAAATCGTGGGCACATTACATTTGTGGTTTTTTGCAGGGAAGGTGCGGAAGGAAAGGAAGTTTCTAACATGAAAAGTTTTTTTTTAAGTTAAAATATCAACATTCAAATACATGAACACCAATGTGGTAATTCTATCACCAAGTTTTTTTTTAATTAATTAATAGACAAAAATAAATAACAGCTTCCAGATTGGGAATTATTTATCACTTCTTTAAGATATCAGAAGCAGAAGAAAATAAAATAACTGACATTTAAAATATCTGAGTATCCGTTTTTCACTCTTTGTTTTAAAGTTCTAAAAGCTGTCAACAAAATAATACTTCCATTCATCATCACCTAATGTCTGAGTATAAGAATGAAAAATGCCTTCTAATTATCTCCTGGATAATGGATCACATCTGAGAAGTATGGAGATTTGATAGCGGGAAAATAAATTTAGCTTAGCTTTTTATGGAATTATCTAATTGTGCTGAATGTTGTTTATTGTGGCATATGTTACTATAGAATTCATATAAGCAGATACACTCTTCTACTTTCCTTCCAATAAGTGACTGCTCCATTTTTTTCTTTCTTTAGATGTCTCTAATAGTTTTGAAAATTTGCTATATGCCAATTGTTATAACCCTGTATCTCCTTCACCTTTGTAGTGAATGTGCTAAATGCCAAGATACTAACTAGAAAAATACATGAAATAAAAAGATCAAACCAAGAGAAGGTAAATGTATTACCTTCAACATGTGCTGTACTTGAGGCTGGATTTGGATGTGGATGTACCTGAAGCTGAGAACTGTGACTTAGTTCCTGAGGTTCATAAGTGAACTTTAGGCCTTTGAAGCATTAAGGAGGAAAGAAACATTGTGATATTTGCCTATATTTATGAAAATAATCAGGAATTCAGTGAAGGGAATAACTCAAAATCACACTAAAAATGAATTTAAAAAACAGATTATTTTTTCCCTGATAGAGTGAATGCTATCTAGGGTAACAAGTTTAGAAAGGAATATTTAAAATAAAGTGTAGATTTCTGAGTCAGTGCTAGAATGACAATCTTCCGTTTCAAAAATACATTATTTTTCTGCTTCTATGAGCAAAAATACATCAAATCTATCTATCTATCTATCTATCTATCTATCTATCTATCTGGAATTCAATGAATGGAATATATATATATACACACACACACACACACACACACACACACACACACACACACACACACACACACATATATATATATATATATATATATATATATATATATATATATATATATATATATATTTCAATGAGCTACTTTCCACAAAGAACCAGGCAGAGTTTTACTGGAAAATTCTAATAAACATTCAAAAAGTGGTCATTTTAATGCCACCTAAATTGCTACAGAGATTAGAAAGGAAAACTTCAAATGCTTTTTATAAATGCAGATATTGTCATACCCGGTCAAAATTTTATAAGAAAAGTTCAGACCATTCCTACTTATTAATGAATAAAATATTATTAGAAATATTTAAAAGCACACTAAAAACTACAGCATGATTAGGCAGGCTTTATTCCAGAAATCCAAAGAAGATTCAATACATGTATTAGTTAGTTCTCATGCTAGTAATCAAGACATACCCAAGACAGGGTAATTTATAAAGGAAAGTAGTTTAATTGACTCACGGTTCAGCATGACTGGGGAGGCCTCAGAAAACTTACAATCATTGTGGAAGAGGAAGCAAACATGTCCTTCTTCACATGGCAGCAGCAAGGAGAAGTGCCAAGCAAAAGGGGGAAAAAGGCTTTCTCCTTATAAAACTGTTAGATCTCCTGAGAATTCACTATCACAAGAACATCATAGAGAGTAACCACTCCCATGAATAAATCATCCTCACTGGGTCCCTCCCATGACATGTGGGGATTACGGGAACTATAATTCAAGATAAGATTTGGTTGGGGACACAGCCAAACCATATCAATACAGTATATCCATTAATGTGATTACAATTATATACATTTTTAAAGTTTCAAAAAGTAAAGTAACCATTTGTTACATAAAGCACTAATAAAATAAAATATTGTGACTTTCTAAGCTTGATAAAAATCTATGTACTTCAATTGCAAAGCCAATATCTGACACATTAGAAAGAATAGAGCTCTATCCACTACAATCAAGATAATCTTTCTATCCTATTGTCTAAACTGATGTTTAGCCTTGAATTATAGTTATTATCCAAAGCAATAGGAAAATAAAAAATCAATTTGAAAAATAAGAATTAGAAAAGAGGGCAACATTTAGTAGCATGTCCAGAACATTTAAGAGAAATTTTTAATAAAACTACCACAAAGAGTAAAAACTGATACAAACATTTCAATAAGGTATTAATGTATAAAAAATAAGAAATTCAAATCCCTTCACATATTCAAACAATAATCACAAAAATACCTTTTTAAGAAAATAGAAAAAGATAATACCTAAAATAAAATGTGTAAAACCTATAGAAAAAACAGTTTCAAATACTTCAGTAAAAGACAAAGTCCCATTATTTTGCCAAAACAATCAAACATCATAAAGGTATCAACCGCATAAGATAAAATATAAATGTAATATGGTATTAGAAAATTATAAGAGAATTTCGCTGAATTTAAACAAGTTCATATGAAAATCAAATGAAAAAAAATAACAATCATGACTAGATGAAGAAACCCTAAAAATGAAGATCAGCAACACAGGCAAAGGAGAATTGGCCTTCCTAGAATGTAAAATAAAATAAAAATCTTCTCATAAAAACAATATGGTCCTTACATATGAATAATCAGAAAGATCAATGGTACCAAAAAGAAAGCATAAAATGGACACAAGTACCTAGGAAAGTATAGTACAGTATATGATAAATTAAATCACTAGTGCAAGTAGGTTTTTTTAAATTATTAATGTTTTAAAGTCATCCGATAGTCATTTATTTCGAAAGGTAAAACTGAACCTATATGTCATCCTTTCACTGAAACACCAAATGAATCAAGGATATAAATGTTTAAAAATAAACCATGCAAGTACTAAAAAACATTATTATCATAAGTGGAAGTTAGAAAGCCTAAGTAAGCCCCCAAAATTTAGAAACAATAAAAGATGAATAAATTTGATAATCATGTCTTATATTTACATATATCTCTTTTAGTCAGATATTACAGTTTTAACATTCCCAAGATATCAAAACATCATTAGCTGATTTGAAATAAAAAACTAAAAAGTAAAATGAAAATAAAAATGTTTATATCTTGAAAATTTATTTCTATTTTCCCATTAAATTGCTCATTCTGCTGCTTATCTACTAGAGTTACCATTTTAAAACCAATGTTTTCTAGCATCTTCAGATATAGTCTCCCTAAATCTCACTATTCAGATAAATAACAACATAAATATATACACCTTTTATGTATCCATAACAATTAAAAATAATCATAATAAAATTAAATAAGCATCCAATTTTTAAAAAACAACCAAACTTGGAAAATTAAGATTGCTATATTACCTGTTGGTAGACATGTCCAGTCCAGATAATCACAAAAGAAGTTGGTAAGTTTAAAGTTATGAGTTTTCTACCACAATAAAATTATTTTGAAAATAGATTAAAAAAAAAAAGAAGAAGAAACCAGGTAGTCAATACATATTGGAAACATTTTTCCTTAATGAAAGATGTTAAGATATTAGTATATTTGTATTATTGCTAATTAAAGCACATGTTATTTTAAGTAAAGCATTCCAATTACAGAAAGGCACAGTGAAATGGGCCTTTCTGTATTCCGGTAGAAAAGAAAAACAACGTGACATTTCTGAAGAGTGATTTGTACCACGACCACTGCTAGTACTCTCATTCACTAACCTGATAATCCCAGTTCTAGAAGATTTTACTAAAATTAATTAAGGATACTACATTCTTTTTTTTTTTTTTGCAAATGGAAGTTCTTTCCAAGGCCGTTTATGGGAGTAAAATTTGGAAATTGTAAAATAAGGAATTGGATGTATTTTGGCCCATCATAACCTATAAAATTATTCAGTCAATACATTAGCATTTGAAGCACATTCAGTGTGATAAGAAAAGTGATTTCATATGCATAGAAAGATGTAAAAAATGTAAGTGCTATAATGATATCTGAATAATGGGAATCAGATTAATTTCAGATGTTCTTATTTATGCTTTTATGTATTTTTAAGTTCTATATAAAAATACCTTTGTGGGTTTTAAGAACACTAATAAAGACATGTGGAAGTCAATGGGATTTAAAGAATAGAAGATGATAATAACTATTGCTTTGTTAATATTCTGTGAGATACTTGGTAAATCACTTAATTTGCATCTGTTTGTCCATCTAGAATGTCAATACTCAAAGACCTTCTTTGTTAGCCATTGTGCACTACTGAGTTGGAATTTAACTGTTTAAAACAGGAATTAGCATCACTCCACTTTAGTGTCTTTGGTGTCAATGCATAGTTGAGAATATAAACCAGGCTAGCATGAGCTGTGTCAGTTAAGAAATGACAAAGAACACTCTTAAAAATTTCCATACTGACTTGAATATATGCTTGAGGGCAAACTGAGGAATGAACACACACACACACACATACGCACACACACACACACAGTAGCTTTTGAAATGGAGGGGTTATTTATATGTTAATTGTCAACACTCAACAGATTGAAAAGTCTTTAACTTTGACCCAGTGCCACCTTAGAAATTTTCTTTGCTTGAATGTTACTGAGTCTTACAATTCTTTCATGACTAGTAGTTTCAAAGGCAGTTTATCAAAGCTTCAGTAATATGATCCTATGTATAGAATTGACTACAAATAAGGAAATAGAAATTGGACTATGAAAAAAGACCAGTTGAGTCTTACTAATGAAAGCTTATAAGAATACGTGAAGCTCTATTTGCAAAATATTAGCAAATTTGCCCAATGTTCTCTCTTAAATTTAAATTTTCCTGAAAAAAGTGTCTATAATAATACAATCTTGACATTGCTATTTGTTGAAGGATTCTCATCTTCCTTCCTGCTCAAAACAAATACCCACACAATAATAGAAATATATGTACAAGGGCTTTCTAATTATGTCCAGTATTCATAGTATTCATTAACACATATTAAACAATTACTATGGGTGATATTATATATTAGATGTTAAATGTGTTTAACATATAATTCTAAACATTCTGCAAGTCTGTTGGTCTTCAGTTCTTTCTGCAGTTATTATCATTTTCTATATTTATTAATTTTATTTCTTTCCTAAAACACATAACATCTAAGTAACAATTTTCTTAATGTACAATTGATTCATTTTCTTATGATTCTCTTAAAAGTCTTTTGCAATTTGATCTCTTCCATTTTCAGATTACAGAACTACTTATTTTTATGTGACATCCTTCTGGAACAATTTATTGATCTTTTCTAATTTTTTTACTTTGGATCTCTCAACATCCTTTGATACAAGCAGTTACTTTCTGCCTCTAAAACTATTTTTATCTTTAGTTTCATGAGTCTAAGTTTACAGATACTCTTTTGTCTTTATATATATTGCTTGTATTCTTTTCAATTTAATCCTCTTTTTTTTCTCAGGTATTGATTATGATTGTACTCAAGGTTTAATCTTAAACATCTGGAAATTTATTGCTCTATCAATGATTTGGGAGAAATTATCCAAGTAAACCTTGAAAATGTTCAAATCTGTATCTTTAAACTCAACTAGTGGCATTCAAATGGCACTCTTAACTCTCAAAATATCTTCAAGGCATGTTTATTTGTGTAATTTTATGATTCTTGAAACTTATTGGAAACTAAACTCATCTTAATCCTAGAGCAGTCAGCTCTACCCAAGATATAATTGAACATCAATTATATTTTTGATTCTTAGTTTTCTATTCTATGTTTATTTCTTCTTAACCACTTTTTTCTTCATAAATCCATATTTAATTTTAATAATTCCCCAAGTATTTATATACTATATGATAAAGCATATTCTATGAATTTTATATATTTTTTTCCTTCTTGTTTATATTCACCACCCAAATCTTTTTGTCAACCTTTCTTTTTCCCTTTTACTTTAATAGCTCTTAAATATAGCTGTGCAGGGCCGGGCGCGGTGGCTCACGCCTGTAGTCCCAGCACTTTGGGAGGCCGAGGCGGGTGGATCATGAGGTCAGGAGATCGAGACCATCCTGGCTAACAAGGTGAAACCCCGTCTCTACTAAAAATACAAAAAATTAGCCGGGCGCGGTGGCGGGCACCTGTAGTCCCAGCTACTCGGGAGGCTGAGGCAGGAGAATGGCTTGAACCCGGGAGGCGGAGCTTGCAGTGAGCCGAGATTCCGCCACTGCAGTCCGCAGTCCGGCCTGGGCGACAGAGCGAGACTCCGTCTCAAAAAAAAAAAAAAAAAAAAAAATATATATATATATATATATATATATATAGCTGTGCATTAGAAACATTGGGATGACTTGGATTTTAAAAAAGTTTTATTAAGCTATAACTTATATAAAGTGCATAGCCCCCTTGAGTATACAGCTTGGTGAATATTTACAAAAGCATTGACCCATGTAACCTTAGCCAGTTGAAAATACACAGTTGCAACATCACAGAATGCTCCCTTAAGCCACCTTTTAGCTGATAGCTTTAAAAATACCAACACTTCAGCCCCAGCCCTAGAGATTTTGATTTAATTGGTCTGAACTGGGTCTTGAACATTGGTATTTACCTTTCCACACAAATATATTTAATAACTTAAAAATGTGGAGGAAGAAGAAATATGATGGAAATATCTTGTTGACAGAGCAGAGTTGAGAGGCAGAACACGTGTGGATGAATTTGAAAGAGAATAATGTCTTCAGGACATTTTGAGGAGGAGGCAGGAAAGGAAATAAAAAGACAAAATTTGAGGTGAAGATGGTGGCATTTCATCAGATTATATAAGACAACTCTGTCATTTGTATTATTTAAAATATTATTGGTAAATCTGTCAAGAATAATTTAGACCGAAATGGAGAGAAAAATATGTTTGTGTGCATAATAAGATTTCCCAGGGGATTATTAGAAATATATTGCATTGCCTGTAGCATAGTTGTATCTGAGGTTTTTACACCTATTTGTAATAGGCAGTCATCTTATAGAATAACTTACATAACAAGCACTTGATAAATATTTTTAAATAAATTAATGGTATGGCCAGCTTATATTTACTATGAGTGCTGACATGTTTAAAAATGAAACTATCATTTTACTATTTATATTTAATTTGCCCTATCACATGTATATAGGGCAAATGAAATATATTTACATTTTCTCGCCTTTCATTGCCATCTTTTTGATGAACTATTTTATTTTCTTTCTCTTTTAACTTGTTAGTGGTTAGTCTATAGATTGAAACATATGTGACATATAAATTAATACATTTGCATTTCCTGGATAATGTAAAGAAGGTATAACCCATGGCATTTATACTTTGCTTCTGCCTTTTTTTTTTACATTCTTGTCATGTAATTTAATTTCACATATGCTTTAAAGCCCATGTTATGGACTGAATGTTTGGATCCCCTGAAATTCATATGTTGAAGACATAACCTTCAATGAAATGGTTTTTGAAGATGGGGCAATTGGGCAATAATCCAGATTAGATTAGTTTATGGGGTTTGGACCCCTATGATTAGGTTATTAGCTTTATAAGAAGAGGAAGAAAGTGAGATTACGTTCTCCATGTTTATACACTAAGAAAAGGCCATGTGAGAATTTAGTGAAAATCTGGCAATCTGTGACCCACAAAGAGAGCCCTCACCAGAAACTGAATCTGCCAGCACTTCGATCTTGGACTTCCCAGCCTTCAACATTGTGAGAAATAAATTTCTGTTGTTTAAGCCACCCATTTTATGGTATTTTGTTATGGCAGCCTGAACTGACTGATATACTCCACAAGATTGATTGTTATCATTCTGTATATAATTATATTCCTCTAAATTTAGTCAACTATTTCTCCTTTCTGTTGCTCTATGTTCTCTCCTGAACTTTCAAGCTTCCATCTAGGATCACTTTTCCTCTGTCTAACAAACACCTTTAAGTATTGCCTTTAATGCAAATATGCTAATGGCAACTAAAATATATACTTTGTATTATCTGAAAATATTTTTGGCTTTATTTTTGAAGGATATTTTCACTGAGTATAGAGTTAGAACTTGGCAAAGCATTATCATTCCATTGTCTACTAGTCTCCATTGTTTATAATGAGAAGTCAGTTTTATTCCTCCATTTTTAATACCTCTTTTCTCGAGTTGCTTTTGAGTTTACCCTTTGTTTTTGATTTTCATCAGTATTCTATAATGTGCCTATGTATACTTTATTTCCTATTAAATTCTAATGAGGATTAGAATTTATAAAACTTCTTAAATTCATGTGTTGCTGCTTTTCATTATATTTAGAAAATTCTAAATCATATCTTCAAATATCACTTCTTCCTCATTATCTCTCTTCTGTTTCTGGTCTTCCAATTACACATGCATTAAGCTTTTTTTTTTTTTTTTTTTTTTTTTATTATACTCTAAGTTTTAGGGTACATGTGCTTTTATCCCATAATTGTATGTTATTTGCTCTTTTCTGGATTTCTCATTTTCTGTCTCTCTGTGCTTCAGTTTGTATTTGTTTGAACTAGTTTCTAGTTCAAAAACACATTCTTCCACAGTGTCTAATCTGCTTTTAAATATATATTACATTCCTAATTTATTTTTATTTTATTACAGCTCTAGAACATAAATTTCATTCTGTAATTTTTGACATTATCAGTTCTGTCTTTTAATTATTTTGTAACTTCATTTCTTATACATATAATTTTAAGCCTGTATCTGTTAAGCCAATGCCTATAAATTCCTTTAGTTTATTTTGATAGACTCTGTCTTGGTTGGTTATTGTCTTCTTTCATGCCTTTTGAAAAATTGAATGTGTATAAAAACTTGTTGATATATTCGAGGCTCTGGATGATATTATCTTCTTTTAGAGATGATTTGCTTTCAAAAAGAATTAACTTTTGCCTCTTTCAGGCAGTTGTGACTGGGATAGATTATTTTAATCCAATCAAGGATGGCAATGACTCAAAATTGGGTCTTACTCAGTCATTCTCTATTTCTGGCTAACGTTTACTGTTATGTGGTAACCTTTTAGGCTTCTAAGCTGACAGCTTATTTTGAAAGTCCTGAACAGCAAAGTTTGTGCTCTAGCCCAAAGTAACTGCCCAAACAAAAGTTCTGCCAAGTTTTTCAGATGCTTCTTTTGAATCATCAAATGCCTCCACAGCAGAGGTTCTCAACTGGGGAAAATTTTGCCTGTCAAGGGACATATGACAATATCTGGAGACATTTTTTATTGCCACAACTGTCATATACTACTTGTGTATAGAAGATAGAGTCTCACCATGCTGCTAAACATTCTGTAATGCACAGGACTGCCCTACATAACGAAGAATTATCAAATCCAAGATGCTTGTGGTGCTATGGTTAAGGCCCTAATATTTTTAGAGGAAAAGCATTGCACATAGTGCACACTTTTTGGGGCATTTCTTCTCTATAGGATTCTTACTCTTCAAGTTTTTACTACTTTAATATTTTCAATCACATGTTTTTACGTGGTTAAAATTTTTGGAATTTTTCAAGATTTTCAAGTGTTCTTTCCAGAGGAGTGACTCTCAATTAGGCTAATCTGCCATTGCTGAAGTAATAAAATCACAGATTCAGTTGATTTCTGTCCATTCACAATTTCTTTGCAAAATAAAAGCAGAGAGGAGTATAGCACCAAAGATGGATGATTGATTTAATTCAGATCTAGATTTATTGGCTGTTATGGAATAATACATGAGAGAAAGAGTTTATGGGGATAGAGAATCTAGTACTGACCAAGCTAATTTTGGATTGTAGGATGGAGAAGAACATCCATAATAATCAGAAGGGTGATACTTGGTGTTATGTTCCTACAATAATATTCATATTTAAGATGCAATATCTCAATACTTGTTTATAGCTCAGATATTTTTAATGACAAAAGTGTCTGGCTTATAAATTGGAAGTTATCCCTCAATAATGGTGGACACTTAAATCCCATCAGGGAGTTTCAAGTGCTGAGATAGAAGAAATTCAATTTAATTTCTGTTGACCCTCAAATTTAGATGTAGTTTTTTTGCATTTATTTTCAAAAGAACATCATTAGAAATTAGTCCCTCAGGTACAGTGCCATAATGTACATTGTCAGTCTCTCACATAGATTCACTGCTCCAAGAAATGTTAAAGTGGTCAGTGCCAATTCCATTTCTCCCGTGAGTTCTCTTCCAGTTTTATTACAAATGTTGGGTATATAAGAACCTAGCCTTAAAAATGGGACTAGAATTATAGATGGCCAATGCTAGAAGTAGTGATGCATTTTGAGATCTATTGAAGAGCGGTAAAGATTAAAGCATGATTTGTACAGTTATGAACACAGCAAATGCCCAGTTCATTAAGCAAATCAGAGTAGCAAATCAAAGAAAAATAAGCTTAAATGAGCAGAAATTATCCACAGGAAATTTACCCAATAAAAGTTGCAGTTTGAGAAAAACAGAAAGCTCTATTACACACATTTGTCATCTACTTAATTTTTTGGTAAATAATTAAAAATGTAACATCTACTTTTGGTGTTAATAAAGTAGCTGAGGCTATACAGTAAAGTAGGGTACAATTATTGCTTTTAATGTTTTCTCATATTAAATAAAATACAATGAATTTGAGAACCAAGATGAAACTTATTTCATACTACAAAGCAGTACTCTCTTTTTTTTTTTTGGTGGTACAAAATAGAAATGATTGAATTGCTTTTTCTTCAAATCATTTTCGAAGGTTAATAGGGAAGCTGACATTGTAAGCATAGATGGGAATGTTATTTAGACATTTGTAATCAACAATGAGGAGTCATTCAAACTGACCTGACCAAAATAGGAAGTTTCTACCAACTCATTCTCCAAAATAGAAAAAAAAAATCTAGATCTAGATCAATTTTCAGTTATTTTGTCATTTATCATGATGTTTGATTATTTATTGCCCTGTAGGGTTTTTTCCCCTTTTCCCTACCATGGTGTCTTTTCAGCTCTTTAATGTTCTACATAATTTCCATTCAGTTGACTTATATAAAATTAGGAATATTTATATAATGGACTGCTCTTAAACATTAAATATGGGCCGGGCGCGGTGGCTCACGCCTGTAATCCCAGCACTTTGGGAGGCCGAGGCGGGCGGATCACGAGGTCAGGAGATCGAGACCATCCCGGCTAAAACGGTGAAACCCCGTCTCTACTAAAAATACAAAAAATTAGCCGGGCGTAGTGGCGGGCGCCTGTAGTCCCAGCTACTTGGGAGGCTGAGGCAGGAGAATGGCGTGAACCCGGGAGGCGGAGCTTGCAGTGAGCCGAGATCCCGCCACTGCACTCCAGCCTGGGCGACAGAGCGAGACTCCGTCTCAAAAAAAAAAAAAAAAAAAAAAAAAAAAACATTAAATATGATGTTTTTGCAAGATATTTAATGACATGAAGTAAAATTCAGGACATATTTTTAAGTGAAAAATGTTGCTTACCAAACAGAAAATATAGTATGCAAAATAACCAAGATCTATAGAGCATATCTTATGTGCATTGCACTATTTGCTTTACATACAGTGACTTAATAAATGAATATTTGTCAATTGCTTTGACAATATTTTTATAGTGATTATTTCTGAAGTAGTATTGCAGCTGACTTTTAATCGCTTGCTTGTGATTTTCTTTCTTTTCACGTTTTTCTGCAATATTAGACTTGTCTTTAAAATTTAGAGTATTGGCTGTGAATGGGTAAAGAGTATAATTAATGCATATTTTATTAGAAATTCTGGCTTAAAATAAATTTAGAAGGAAGTTTAAAACATAAGCTGAACTTAGTAGTAATTGAACTTGTCTTTCACTTTTATTCTTATATGTCTCCCCTATTTATTTAGATGACCAAATGTCAGATATTAGATGATAAGCTGTATTATTGTTGTTTATAATAAACAAAGTGGAGAGTAAAACAAAACAAAAAGCCCCTCATCTGGTATAATGCTCAAGATAAAAATGTTGATCCATTGAAAGTAGCCTCCCATTACTTTTCTCAGCCTTTTTTTTTCCCAGTGATTTATTGAGAGCTGTTCAACTCTTACGAATTTTTTTGGTGCCCTTTCATTTGTTTTATACCCACTGGAATAAAAGGAAATGCTTTACATTAAGGAAACAAACAAACATAAAAGACACTTAGAAATAGCAAGCTATTTTCTATATATGTCTGAAAACAATTCAGAAATTATGAACATTTTCTATATTTAATATGGTATCCATGGTGATGGGAAGTCCCAATAAGAGCAAGACATTTATTGAGTAGGGCATTGTGTTCAGTGCTTGAGATACAAAGATGACTGGAGTGGTCTGTGCTTACTAAAGCTCATCCATTTGAAGAGTTTTTTTTGTTCACATAAACCCCAGCCTGTTGTCCTCCCTCAGATCGCTGAAGCATCAAATGCCTTTGGTTCTATTTCA
The DNA here is from genome assembly GCF_000001405.40 of Homo sapiens. Taxonomy (NCBI): domain Eukaryota; kingdom Metazoa; phylum Chordata; class Mammalia; order Primates; family Hominidae; genus Homo; species Homo sapiens. Next base: position 86,321,062 of record NC_000007.14, on the reverse strand, counting down.
GACATTGAACACTTACTGGCTCTGAATGCCTCTGAGTCTGTACCAAACACTGAAAGCAATCATAGCTATTAGCAGAAAGCAGACTTTCAGAATTCTATTCTTTGTATAGCTCCAAGTGTGATTACAGTGTTTCTGGTGAGTGCTGTTACCAATAAGTAAGAGCTGTCCCAACATTAAATTGCTAAGGTAAAGGATCCAAAAACTTCTCACTAGAACATAGTAGTTTGAAACTGTCAGATGTCTTTAAGCCATGCATGACAGTTAGCCACCTGGTATGTAAAGATAGAGCCCACAAAAGTATACCTGTGTCAAGCACACTTGATTGCCTGATTTCATAGAAATAAAGCATAATGGAATTCTTGCCTAATCTCCTATTACTATAGCCTTTGTGTAAGTATTTCAGTCAGGATAGGCAGTATATCAACAGGCATATATTTTCCATTTGAATACCTGAGTGCTAAATTTATATTCCTTTTGTATTTAGTGAAAGAGATTTCCTGGCCTAATTTGTTCAGCAAGGATATTTCTCACTTGTTTTTCATTTTTGAATAGGAGGATCCTATTGTTAGAAGAAATGGAAGTTAATTAATCATATTTTAACAAGCTTTTTATTGTGTAACTCCATTTCATTTGAAAAGCATTAAGTGGGGTTGAGGTAGGACCAGGGTGAACATTGCAAACAAAGCTTATTGTTTATGACAATACTGAATACTATGAAAATCATCTGAAGGTTTCAGTCTGTTTTATACTGCTAACATTTTATGTTTGATTACAGCTGTCAGAACAACATTCAAATTAAATGCAATGGGAGGTTATTTAGAAATCTAGAAGTATGTGCAGTCAACCAGCACCCAGCATTGCTGCAGAAGGCAAGAGTGCTAATTATTTTAGTTTCTACTGAAACTTAACAATGCTGTTTTATTATAAAATATTGAATATATATACTTGATTTTAATACTGTAAATATATTAGCGCCTTAATTTAACTTTTGACTCAAAGAATCAAGTGTAAAAAGGGAATTATTCCTACTAATTCCTAATTTAAGAAAATTAAAATAATTTAATATAAATGGTAATTATAAAACATTTCAAAATTCAATCTCACTGAAGTTCTCACACCATTATAAACATAATTATTATATTATATATTATATTATTAAAATATCATTGTACATTTTCATACATGCTTATATTTTATTTCACTTGAGAACTAAGTGAATCTCCATGGAATCTATCCATGGAATCTTTATTCAAAGTTATGGCTGCACAAAAATCTTCATTCATCAATTCAAATATTTAAAGAGTTGTCATATATAAAAGGAATGAATCATATTCTATATGGAATCTAGTACTTGAACCAGCATACTGAAAATTAGTAGGTGCTCAATATTTGTTTGTGTGAAACTAAGATAAGCGTGTGAATGCTGCAGAATGATGGATTTTGTATCCATAATGCAAGGAAATAAGGCTGCCTAAAGATGAGATAGATCACCCCCAGGAAAGAGTATCTTTTGGGAAATTTCAGGGAACTCAATGCATATATCTAATGCATCATTTATGCACATGACTTTAGATTCTTCTCCATTCCTGAGAAGTTTTAAACACACACACACACACATACACACACTAATTTATACAATTGTCTAAATTTGTCATATCAATTTACTTTTTACTCTAGCATTCTTAAATATCAGTAAGAATACATTTCCTCTCTCTCCCTGTCTCTCTCCCCTCCTTCTTCCCCCTCCCTCTCTCTCTCTCTCTCTCCCTCTCTCTCCGCCTTCCTCCCTCTGTTTAGTAGTGTCTAGAAAAGTTTGTGTTTCCTTGATAAAAAGGCATGGGAAATTCACAGATGTGCTTACCATAATACTCCAAGCTTTTATTTGGTATTGTCAAGTCACAATCTGGGTAGGCTTATGATCATGGTGTACATGATCTCTGTATGACCTCTCAGGCTACGTCATAAGAGTTGATACAGCCTTTGCCTAGCTTTCTTGGGACTCTTGCTCTTTGAAGTTATTCATCATTCCATAAAGAAACTCAACCCAAGGACCACTGGGAAAGAAAGAGTGCAGCTGACCCACTGCCCTCACTGAATTCCTAGCCAACAGGCAGCTCCAACCTGGTAGCTATGTGAGTGAGTCATCTTAAGAGTAGATCCTCCGATCCCCAGTTGACCCATCTCACCTGAAGCTGCTGGAGCAGACAGTCTGTCCACATCATCACTACCTGACCAAATTGCAGATTTGTGAGCAATTGCTCACAAGTAATTGAAAATTGTTGTTTTAAGCCTCTAAGTTTTGAGGTAGTTTGTTATGCACCAATTAACATGATTTACTTGTTAACAAATAATTTGATCAATTACTAATTGCACCATAAATAGCACCATTTCTGTAGCTATATCTTATTATGGATTGCTATGAATAATGCATTTTCTCTTCATGTCAGATATAATAAAAATTGGCAATATCTGTTCTTCATGATATGCACATTCACATATGTAGGGTATTTTGTGGCATAAAGAGCTTTTTATGAAAATTTCATGAAGTCTCCTTCTTACAAGCTATGAGACATTGAATGAGTTGTTTAAATGGTCAACAGAGCCATTCTTAGGACTCTTACATAGGCTATTTAGAAGTTCAAATTAGATAAGGTATAGGAAAGCTTTACCTGAACTCTAAGAAGCTATAGAAATACATTTCTATTAAAATTAATATTATTAGAAAGTTACTCTATTAATTTTAGTTTTTACTAGGTCCTTTTAAAAGTCCAGGCTCAGAACTGATTTGAAGAGTCTAAATGAATTAGGCCTAGACTAGAGCAAAGAGTCTTGAGTTGTTTACAGGAAGATGCAAAAAGTTTTGCTTTTTCATGATAAAGGAAATTACTTCTTAAAACCTTTATATGTCACTTTGGCTATATTCTGAAAATAAAAAGCAGGAGGTTCAAAGGGCATTTTGAATTTTGCTGCACTAAATTTAATCCTGCCTTAAGAATTCCAAGCAGTTTTCTGTTTCTTAAAAGCATTTACAATTATGGGACAACATTTTTATATATTTTAGTAATATACTCTTTCAGTTTATTTCCCAAAAGGGAGTTGAAAAAGTGCTAGCTTCTTAGTAAAAAATTTGCTTCTAAAAATACATCTTATCTTTTAGAAAATGTACATCATTTAGGCATTTTCCAAATGAAAAAGAAAAAACATTAAGTTGCATGAGAAAATAATGAATATTATAAATATTTATTATTGAAGATACCTGATTGCTGCTCTAGTTTATGTGAATTTTGTTCCTATTAGGAAGTTACAGAATATTTTCACTTATTACTTATTTATTTACTCAGCATATTTCAGGAATGTTGGATGTAGATTAGATGGCTATTTTAATAGGCAGTTTCACTCTTTTTCTGGGATGATGTTCAAATAGCAGAATTATCAGAAATGGACATGGCCCATATAACAATGAGTATTTCTTCGGAGATGGAATATGCAACTCTGCAGTTTATTCTGAATTTTTCAAAGAAGTTTCTAAAGGGTATTTATTATTTTGGTGACCTAAAATTCTGAAGATACAAACAAGCTCAAATTGACAATCTCTTAAATTTAGTAGGAGCTAAACAGTCCATTTACTCATTTATTCATCACATATGTTATTCTGTATCTCCTCTGTGCCAGTCACTGAACAAGGTGCTGAGGATATGACAATGCCCTTGACTAAATCTTGCCTCAAGGAGCTTGTAATTTTGAGGTGAAAGCAGCTATGAATATATCACAAGGTATTCATCCATTTGTTTGCCTGGGCCTGGCTGTAATCAAGGATTGGGAGGCCTTCCCTTCACTAATAGATAGAATTCCTTCTCCCCAAGTGGTCTTATCCTAGAGTGTCAATGCCAAAGAGTATTTTACTTCATGACTTTCTCTTTAAATGATCATATGTCTTAAAAACTAATAAAACACTGTTCTGTTGCTTTATGTGCAAAGTCCTGATCTTTGTAATTAGCTGTACATGGTTGTGTAACATCTTTGCCTTATACTTAGTGAGATTATTTTAAGCCAGCAAATTTTTTTCACTATTTCCATTTTTTATTATCTTATTTATCACCTCTATGATGAATAGATGTGTTATTTATCTCTGTCTAGGGATGTTATTTATCTCTTATTTGTGTTTTTCTCATGTTTAAATATTTTAAGAGCATGTAATTTTTTTGTGAGAGTGGGGAATACTGTGCTTGATATCTGTACACTTCACATTTACTTCACAGAGAATCTTCCAAAGTCCTGAGATACATCTATTTTAATTTTCTAGATCGTCCTTGGTCCTAAACATAATGTTTTTGGGGAAGTAGTATTACACATAAAGCATGTGGACTGGTCTATTATTTAGTAATGTTTTAGTTCCAGATGGAAGAGAACTCACCCAGTTGCTTAATGCAAAAAAAGGCATTTATTGACTCATATAACTGAAAAATCCAGGGATAGGACTAGTTTCAAATGAGATTTGGTTCAGGATCAAAGTAATATTGTCTCTGTTTTCTTCTATGTGCTAATTTCAGAGTGAGGATCTGGTGATTATTTTAGATTAATCAAGTCCTATTTCTGGATATGAGAGTTGAATCAACTCCTGAAAACTATAAGTATTGAGAATGGAAGATTAGCTGGTTCTCTTTTATCAGGAAAAGTATGAATGTTGGATACCAGCAGGCAAAAATCACATCACTTATTTCTGCACCAATTTGCAGTTTTCTCTACTTATTCTTCTAGTAAATTAGTGGAAAAACAGGTCAATTTATAGAATGAAAAATTCTGTCCGAAATATTGATGAATAAAGCTACTGGAATATCTATTTTTTTTGTAGCTGGAAACATTCAATCCATACATGCCTATATTCAGGGGTAGAAATTGCGATTTCCAATACATTTGCTCTTCTACATAGATAAAGCCTCCAGATGAGTTCACATGATGGACTGATACTAAACAGAGCAAAACATTAATTTAGGTAAGGATATCAAATCTTCCCACTGATTTAAGTTCTAGAAATAGACAATAGGAAATTTTTCATAGTATTCTTTAACAGAAGGCACAACAGAGCATCTCAACTAAAGTATGCAAATCTCTTTCAGACCAGTTATCCTCCAGCAGATGTCTGAGTCAATTGATGCCCTTTCTACCAGGAAGACTTCAAAAGGAAAAAATGCATAGTCTTTCCCTTCCACCTGGTCTCAATATAAAAGTTAAAGAACAGCTGTCTAGGATAGGACTCTTGTTAGTTAGGTCATATTTCTCTATAAAAAAATCAACTCCATGAGGCTCTTTTGTAATTAGTTCTTGAACTGCATTACAGGGTCCTTTGAGAACAAGGATCTCTAATGCTCTCTGAGTATGTCAAGCTCTAGGTACTCTCTTGAGAATTGAAAGTCATCAGAGAGTTTGCTAATCCTAAAGACATAACTAAGTCAGTCAACATGCAATCATAAAATTCCAATATCCAAAAAAGTATTTTTATCTCCATAAAAATGTTTTTAGTTTTTCATATATTCAAGTACATATTCGGTGCCTAAAAAAACTCTCTGTTAGGCACTTGAGTTATAGAGGTCACTATTTTCATGGAGCTTATATGCTGTGAGAAGACAGATAATAATGAGCAGGCAATCTCAGAAAGACACAAATGCTATGTAGAAAGTAAAATAGAGTGATGTTGCAAAGAGTAACTGGATAGGAAATAGTAATTTAGGATAATATTCATTAAAGGCTTTTCGTAGCAGGTGATATCTCAGCCAAGATTTGAATAATGAGAAGTAGCCAGCCATGCAAAATCTGAGAATTAAATATCTTAGGATATATTTCACAATAAATAAATATGCCCAATGATTTGGCAATCTAAAGATACAGTCAGATATTAACATTGTTTATATGAAAACTTGATTAGGTAAAAAGAAATCTAATTCCAATATTCTAGGCTCTTTTAAAATATGGCATTATTACAAAGTTATTTAAACAAACACTAGTGTGAAGTATTTGATGTCATTTATAGTCAAAAGTAGAAGATTAGTTCCTGAGCTATGCTTGTGATACAAATCTATTGTTCCAAACCCTGGTTTTGGTCTCTGATAAGATTAAGCCTATATGTCTTAATCAATGTCTCTTTCTTACTAAGAAGTCACTTCTTAAATGCTGTACTAATTTGATAGCTTTCTTTCCCTCAGATATCCTGAAAAATCTTTAGTCATTCGAATAACTTTCAGAGACCTTGAGATATATGATTTAGACAGGTTTAAAAGAGATAAGTTTCTCCTTGAACTTACTTTGACTGTCAGTATTATAATCACTAAGTCTGACTCTATATATAATGGAAGTGATGACTTCGCTGATAAGTTTCAGTTACAACGAAGATGTCTGCAATTCTAAAAGTGAAGTCCAAATAATTCTCCTCAGTGCGCACAAAATGAACTTCTGAAACATTAGTGGATATGCTGGTATTTGCCTTTGTGGCATTATATCTGAGAAATCAGGGGTTTGATTATCTTTTCTTGATATGCTAACACGTCCAATAATCCAAAATACCAACGTGGAAAAAGTCAGAGAAATAGCAAGCCTCAAAAAGTAATTACATACAGTCATGTACAAACTTGGAAAATTAACTTCTGTTTTTAAAAAACATTTTCTCTTGAAATATTATGGTTATATAAAGTGCCAAAAAGAGGTTTCATATTAAATCAAAAAGCAAAAGGTAAATGTAAATTAGGAAATGTTGCTGCCTGTGATAGCACAACTGTAATTAATTAGGTTTCTATCACTCTTAGACATTTTTCTAGGTGCTTTAAAGATTTCATTTTATTTAGTTCTCAAAATATCCTGATTAGCCCGATTTTATAGAAGAAACTGAGGGTAAGAGTTACACAAGGTCATTGTTGTAGGCTGAATAATCTTGAGGTAGAATTAAAGATATTCAGGTCCTACTCCCTGTAAGAAGCTATAAAAGGCATGGAAACAGATTCTCCCCTGGAACCTCCAGAGGAGTGCTGACACCTTGGTCTGGGCCCAGTGAAAAGGATTTTGCACTTATGACATCCAGGTCTGCAAGGGAGTCAGTGTATGTTATTCTAAGCCACCAAGTTTGCGGTAATTTGTTAGAGAAGATAATGTATTAGGAAACTAATATAATCATAAAGATAAAAATGTTGATACCAGATTGGAACCAATCTGTCTCCTCATTTTCTAATATATCACTTTGTTATGTAGCTTTCTAGAAGAGACTTTAGAGTTGCAAATGTAAAGCAATTGGCTAGGCAAATTCTTCATTTGAATTTAAAATTTCGTGAATTTGTAGATCAAGTAAACACATTCACTTAAAAATATCAGCTCCTTCACCTAAAGTTGAATTATTTATAAAGTTTTTGAAAGGTGGAACCCATGCCTTGGCAAATTATTGACACTGGTTATCTCCTTAGATTACCTTTAATAAAAGCACAATGATAAGACTTTTTAATCGGCTGTATAGGCATAATTTTCAGTCTATTCTATTTCTATGGATAAATCATGGACCAACATTTTGCATATGAAATAAGTGTTGTGGCACAATTATTCCACCAATAACTACTGTTATGTTGTATTTTTTGAATTGATGAGGAGTTGTAAACATATCGATTTTTACTACTCTGGCAAATATTAGAAAGATAGGAATAGATGGACTTGAAGGCAAAGCTAAAGAAATAAAGAGCATATTACAATTAAGTTAAATTAACCAACTTATCAAATTGGAAGCAATTCATATAATTGCTATTTTGGAACTGAGGCACAAACTGGAGGATCTCTTTTAAGGGTAAATGCCTTTATTTCTGGGAGAGGAAATGACAGTCCACCACAGACCCTCCCACCTATGAAAATACCTACTTATTGGTCAGATTCCAGAAAAGAAAGAGTAAAACAAAATTCAAAGCTGATTACAGTTATAAGATTGGGTATTTGGATGGGGAGGACAGATAGGAACAAGGTCTTCTCAGAATAAAAGGTATAGAGATGAGGAATTTGAACCTGAGAGCTCATTAAGGACAATGACTGAATCTTACAGAAAAAAAAAAGTGTCTTGTCAAGGACTTGTCATAGCAAACTTTTAAACAATATAACTGGAACAGCATCACATTTGAATGAGCAGCAACAATAATATTGAATACAAGAAGGTAAGAAGCAAAATTTCTTCTGTTTTAGGTCACGTTTGGTCCCAGTAAATGGAATCGAACTGAGCTTGAGGTGATACTCATTTTAGAATTTTTCTAATGAGAAAAGAAAGTTGGAATTCCAAAGACTGGGGACTTGGCTAGTTCAGAAGTGCTATATTGCTTCATTGCACCAAGAAATAAATGAGGAATTAAAATTTATTGAGTATAGTGGCAGATTAGTTTTGCAAGCCAATCTGTAAGCTCTCAACATAACTCCAAAGTCTTAATACTTCTTCATACATGTAAGGCTAAGGACTTGATGCATTTTATCAACTATCACAGAGACCCTGTGCAGGAGTGCATTAAACACAGAGGAGTGCCATGATGTAAGGTTGGGAATACAGGCAAGGACCACATTGTTTAGAGCTCTTCAGGCCATGAGAAATAATTTTGACATTACTGTAAGTGCAAATAGAAGCCACTGCAGAATTTTAGGTAGCAGAGATACATTGCATGATCACATTCTTAGAAGATCAATCTGATTATGCTACAGGAAAAAGAAAATTGGCAGGGGGGGTGGGGGGTGGAAAAATGAAGAGACATCTTTTAGGAGACCACTGCAGTATTTTAAAAGAGAAGTGTAATGGTTCATACTTAAGCAATGGTAGTGGAATTAAAGAGAAGTAGAAAACTTTACATATCTATATATGCTAAGGAATACACTTTTACTGATTCTCTGGATTCTTGGAAAAATATACATATACTTATATCCGTTTATTAATATACCATATATGTGTGTATATTTGTATATTACCAGAAATATAAATTCAGATTTTTATTTCCTACAGAAATGCTTTCATTCCTTTACAACACATATCTTGCCCCAATTATTTAGTTCTAATATCCATGCCTTTGCAATATGACTTTGCAGCTTTTCCCATCAAGACTCTATTTCCACAGCCCTTATAATGCGGCTTGCCCTGTAGATTGTTTGGAAAATAAAATACAGCAGAAGAGAAAATTAATAAAAATTGAAGCCCATTCTTGTATGCCTGTCCTATATCTTGAATCCAGCTGTAAAAAATTAGTGGTAAATTATTTTCTAATGAACTACAATTCACAGGTTTTTATCTTCAAATTATAAGCATTCTTATATTGAGAGGTTATTTTTCCTATTTCTTCATCACCTTCACTATTTTATATCTTACTTCATTACTGGCAAAATACCTTCAGAGTTACAATATCTTTAACAGCTTTGTCTTTAAAAATGATAATAGCTTCTTTTCTGTCTAAATTTTTTATTAGAGCTTATCAAAAAATTAAGCCAGCAATTGAACTATATATACTAAAATATGATAAACTTGAGAAATTGAAACTCTTGATCTGTCACAGTGATGTCTTAAAACACACTGGCTAAAGCCAATTACAAAATCAGAAGATTATTTTTCGAACTGATGACATTTAAAAAATCCTTTAGGCATTTTCAGGTTACAACATGACAGTTTTTGAGTTTTAAAATAAAACTTGTTCTTTGTTCTATGGAAAAGCCTAGGTTTCTTCAAGGCAGTGTCTGGAAAAAGTGAGGATTATGTTTATTTGAAACAGTAACTTGAAAGTTTATTCTCATAATTAACTAGAAATGTTAATTTTTGAGAACGATCTTACATGTATAACATATAAAGATTGCCCTCAAATATTTAGTACTCTCTTCATTTAAACATTAAAAATCAATATTATAAGATGATAGGAAATAGCTATTCATATAGAAATAGAAAATGTTTATTCCAAAATAAATGTCCAATCTCTTATTTGAAGGTATTTTGGATATCTCTTCGTGTGTAAATGGACAATTGTGTGTTCATAGAATTTGAACCTAAAAATGTAGTGGGGAATCTGCAGTCTGCTTTTCAGAAAGGCACAGTAGCAAAATTGGTGAAATATTCCAGTGTTGGTTATGGGCAGAAATGCCTTCCTTTTTTTATGGTTTGGATACTTGTCCTCTCCCAAAATCATGTTGAAATTTAATCCCCAATGTGGCACTATTCAAAGATGGGCCCTTGAAGAGGCTTTTAGAGCACTCATGAAAGGCTTAACTCATTCGTGGACTAATAGGTTATCCTGGGAGTATGACAGGTAGCTTTATAAGAAGAGGAAGACAGATCCAAGAAGCATGTTAACACACTCAGCTGCCTTGTCGTGTGATGCCTTGTGACATCTTAGGACCCTTTAGAGAGTCCCCACGAGCATGAAAGCTCTCACCAGATATGGCCCCTTGACCTTGAACACCTTAGCCTCCATTAATATAAGAAATATACTGCTTTTCTTTATATATTACTCAGTTTTAGATTCTGTTATAGACAACAAAAAATAGACTAATAGACCTTTCAAAAAAGTTTATAGATGCAGGAGAATCAGGAATTCCAAGCACACTGAAGATTTCCTTTACCTGTTATTCACGATCAGCTCCAGTTATCTTGAATGTTTAATTTAATTTTGGAGCTTTATAACTGCTCCAAAATTAAATTAAACATTCAAGATAACTTTGGAAAAATATATCTAATATAATTTCTGCAAATTCTGAATGAGGGATGGGGAAAGAAAGGATTTGTTCAGTAGGACAGAGAGGCGGAGAGATTTTCCTGGAATTAGTACAATAATCTATACTTGCCTGTGGTTTAAGATGATCTAGACAATTAATAGGCATTTAGAGCTGCAAGGACACATACCTTTAGCCATGGTTTCTTAAATGCATGCCTCAATAAGTTTTGCTGGGCTTCCTATGGAAAAAAATGTAGAGGCTTTTTGCAGAGAAAATATAGAAATCCCAAATCCAGGTGCCCCGGATGTTTGCTTTAACAGGTTTAATTCATTATCAAAGCTTCTCCATTTTCTTTAAACCTCAACAACAAGTAAACAGATTAACTTTTTGGCTTTAGTTCAAAAACTAAAGCATTATCTTGTGATCAATATTCACCTCAAGAATCCAGTATAGTGACAAATATAAAAACACTGGATTTTGGGAAAAGTAATTGAAGTAATCACCTTGGCATTGCTTATTATGTAATAAATACATATAATATAAAAATTATATATATATATATATGCATGTTATATATGTTTACATGTGCTGGGATTACAGGTGTGAGCCACCGTGCCCAGTCTGTAGTTGTTTATATATTGACATAAATGATGGGATTCTGTTTTGCTTTACATAGAACGGTGGTTCTCAAATGCTTTCCCCCTTACCCCAGCACAGAATACACTCCCATCAGGAACATACCTTGATAATAATAGTGATTCAGTTGGGGGTTGAAGAGAACTTATCTCTAGAAAGGAACACCAGAAGTCCTAGAGATGATTATTCACCTCCATTGAGAAATTTGTTCATTTTTCTCTTCCATTTCCTTATAACCACTGACATAGAATATTTAAACTAAAAAAAAACCTCTCAAATATAGCATTATAACTTATTAGAATAACTAAATGTTATGCTAGAAATGTTTACTTAATACAAAGAAAGTCAAAATAAGAGGAATAAAGAAACAATGGAAATGAAACACATAGAAAACAAAAACCAAATGGGGAGATATAATAGAAGACATATTAATAGTCATATTAAATATAAGTGGATTAAGCAATCAATCAAAAGGCAGAAATCTTCAGATTACTCTTAAAAAAAACAACAATGTTATTTTATGGTGTTTACAGCAGGCACAATTCAGATACAAAGATATAAATTCATTAAAAATAGAATAAAAATATTATTCAAACAGTAATTGCAACCAAATTGGAGTGATTATAATAATATTAGACCAGGCCAGGGATTAGGGGCTTGGGAGGAAAGTGAGGATGGTTAATTGGTACAAAAAAATAGAAAGAATGAATAAGATCTGGTATTTGATAGAACAACAGAGTGACTGTAGTCAATAACAATTTATTTGTACATTTTTAAATAAAGAATATAATTAGATTGTTTGTAACACAGAAGATAAATGCTTGAGGTGATTGGCACACCATTTACATTGATGTGATTATTGTGCACCATATGCCTGTATCAACATATTGTAGGCACCCCATAAACATATATGAGTACTATGTACCCACAAAAATTAAAAATTAAAAAAAAAATCAGTCAAAATAGATTTCCAAACAAAAAATTTTACTGAAAACAAATTGAGATATTTAAAATAATAGCAAGGTAAATCCACCAGGGCTACATAACAATTATAGACAAATAAGTGCTTACCATCACAACCCAAAAATACACAAAAATTGGCAAAATTGAGGGAGAAATAGAAAATTGAACATTTGGCTTGCTAGTATTATATATATATATATATATATATATATATATATATATATATATACACACACATATATACACATAATTTTGGCTTTTATTTTCCTTTTCTTTTTTTTTTTTTTGAGTCACTGTCTTGCTAAGCTAAAGTGCAGTGACAAGATTATGACTCACTTCAACTTCAAACTCTTGCACTCAAGTGATTCTCTCATCTCAGCTCCCTGAGTAGCTAGGTCTACAGGCATGAGGCATTAGGGCATGAGGCTAGGTCTACAGGCATATGTTCATTAGGGATATGGGTCTATGGGCTTTTATTGTTTTTATGTCCTTGTCTGATTTTGGTATCAGAGTAATGCTGACCTATGCAAGAAATTAAAAAGAATTCCCTCCTTTTCAATTTAAAATTTTTCTTTTAAAATAATCAACAACATACAGTTGCTGTGAGCATAGAGTAAAATTGTAAAAATATTATGGCCAAGCTCTGCTGTTTTTGTTTTTGAGATTTCTTTCTCATCTTGAATGCCATGTTTTTTTCAGATATTATTTTCTTAGTTTTATCACTTTTTTTCAGATATTCTTTACTTAGTTGATGCAACAAAAAGCATACAGAGGATACAGTCCAAGTTTTCAAGCAGAAGCACTAGTCATAATTTTGAAATTATATTGGTAGAATATTTATATTAACTTAGGTGTTTTAAACTAAAATTTCCAAATATAGGAAATATTAAAAAGAAAATTAGACAAAGTTAAGAGAACTTTATTTACCCAGTATCTAGATTCAATAATTATCAAGATTTATATGCTTGCTTTTTCATTTTCCCTCCAAGTTTTGACCTCATGCCATTCTGCCTACAGACAATCCTAAAATATCTCTCAAAATGATAGAGATTTTTCTTCTTTTGAACAATTTCATTGCCACACCTATTTAAGAAAAAATAGCAGTAATTCCTTAATATTTAATACAGTTTATATTCATATTTCCTCAATTGTCTCAAAAATGTCTGTTTAAACTCAATTTGTTCAAATAAGTACCCACTTAAGCTGCAAGCTGGTTGTTGTATTTCTTGGATCTTTGTTAATTTAGGATAAGCTCTTTTCTCTAACTCCTGCCTCCTTTTTTTTCATGTTCTTATCACATGGCAGATACTAAGTCAATTGTCTAGTCGTAAGAACTGTAGTTTTGGCCGGGCGCAGTGGCTCACACCTATAATCCCAGCACTTTGGGAGGCTGAGGCAGGCGGATCATGAGGTCAGGAGATCGAGACCATCCTGGCTAACACGGTGAAACCCCGTCTCTACTAAAAATACAAAAAATTAGCCGTGCATGGTGGAGGGCGCCTGTAGTCCCAGCTACTGGGGAGGCTGAGTCAGGAGAATGGTGTGAACCCAGGAGGCGGAGCTTGCAGTGAGCCGAGATTGCAACACTGCACTCCAGCCTGGGCGACAGAGCGAGACTCCATCTCAAAAACAAACAAACAAACAAACAAACAAAACCAGGAAGTGATATCTAGAAGTTTGCTTAGATTCAGTTTCAACTTTGGTGATACTGTTTCTAGGAGGGATACAATATCCTGCTTTCTAGTGTTTAATAATGGTAAGATTAATCATAGGTTCTGTGCCAACAGCCTAATCCTTTCTTTGTAAAGTTCCCCATCAATCTTTCTTCTAATTGTTTATTCCTCTGCCTGAAACAGTTGATTTACTGCAAATTGCAAAATAGCAATGATTTTATTCTGGCATTTCTTCCTCATGTATTAGCTTAATTCTTTTCTAAAAAGCACTTTTCATCATTGGCTAGGACTACTGTAGTATATCAAAATACAGTTAACATGAGGGGCTTTAGGGAAGATATTAAATTTTCCTTTAATTGCCAATTTTAGAATAAGGAAATGGTGCTCTAGATGTTTAGATAGAAATCAGTACTTTTTTGTTTTTGTTATTTAATGTGATTGTTATTCATTGACTATATCCTCTCTTCAAGTATCCTTATTAACTCAATGTTTGTAAAAACATGTATTTTTGAGGTAATATGGATTTAAAAATGTATTTTTAAAAACAGTGAGTTAATAAAGACTAATGTGTATTGACCAATAGAACCTGTTTTATTTTTCTGCACAAATATTCTCATCTTTGTTTAGTTGGAGATTCTTCATTTTAGTTCCAAAGTCCTTTGATATAACATTATCAGAATATACTGCTCCTTTGATTCAGTTTCAAGTTTGGTAATATTGTTTCTCATACAGATGTGAAAAACTCACCTTGAACAGTTCTTACACCAGTCTTGGAATCAGCCAAATCTTGCAGAAGTAGTAGTTGCTGTAAAATTTCAGAGTTCACAGTTTTGAAGATGGAGTGCCTATTCCTACTGGGCAGCTATTGTTGATAGGCTCTTTTAGTGAACAGAGCTAGGATATATGATTATTGGGAAAAAATAATTGATACAAATATTTCCAAAAAGTATATTATTACAATTTATTTTGCTGTTATATTTATATGGTTTTTTCCTTATACTAAAATCCTTCGGTCCTAAAACATTAACATAATTATTTGCTATGTGTATGTGTGTATATTAGATTCAAAATAATAACAATCTTATCACTAAAAATCAAAAGTGAGTGAAGTTTGAGATGTCTTTATAGTTTTACTTTGTCCTTAGACTGCATTTCTACTTTAGATCTATAGTCAAAATATCAAATTTTAAAATCACTTCAAATTGTTCTTTTTTTAGTGACTATGCAATCAACTTTATATTCAGTTTGAATTTATAAGTTTGGTTTCAATTTTAGAAATTGTAGTTATTTTAAATTATTTTTATTTATAAATATATAAATCACATTATCCCAAAGTCAAAACACATAACCAGTTACATGCAGGGAATATTAATTTCTATATTTGATCCCTCTACTTTGTTTTCTTCTTCATCCATACATAGTAATTTTATGGCTATTTCTCTAGCATTTATTTTTGCAATTATTAAAAATAGATACACAGATTTCTATTCTTTCCCATTTTATACAGGGTTAGGGTATGCTATATAAATTCCATACCTTGTTGTTTGAAACCTAATATATCCCATTTTAGATAAATCAGTGACTTAGGATTGGGTAAAATGGTACGGAAATCTGATAACCAAGGGCATAATTATATGGTAAAACCTACTGAGACATGTTTATTTGAATTTGCATTTCTGTAGTGATTCATAGAAACTTTCTGATCTTACCTATCAGACAATACTGATATTTAGTAGACTACAAAATGTAGCAACTGAAATATTTTAAACACAGTCATCCTCTGCAGGTAATTTTTTTTTGGCAAATGAAAAAGCTATTTTTATTCAGACGGTGTTGTTCTACTTATGAGCCAATGACTCTTTCTCTGAGTGGGGATCTGCTCCACCATTCACAGTCTGGGACTCTTCAACAGTATTTGCTCCACATCACCAGCAATACCTAATCAAACAATGAGAAGATCCCAGCCCAGAGATTGAAGAAGTTAAATTTACACTAATAGGGGTTTGAGAATTGGGACATAAGAGATTAATACATCTTTTCATGTATTAAATTTGGTTTAGTAAATTGAGAGCTGTTGGGGCTCATGTGGATAGAGGTAGAACAGTTTGGGCTGAAAAGGAAGAAAAGAGTAAATAAAGTCTGCAGAAGGAAGAAAAGAGGAAATGGGGAGAATCCCAGGGAGTTCTTCCTGTCTAGCACTTTTTAACATAAGGCTTTTCTGCAAGGGGTCTGGATTCCTGCCTGTGGGTTTTATAACTATGCCCTGTACTTTTATTTTGTAGTTCTCTTTCAGTACAATTTTAAAACAACCTGAGCCAGCTTCCTACAACAACAATTTCCTAATTAATAAGCTTGGCATATGTATGTTCGATTGCAGGAAATAGGGGTGTAAGTCACCATTAGCAAGAGATATTCATATGGAGATATTCTAATGCTTGGATACCTGTGTTTAGTGAATATAAGGACACCAAAAATGAGCACCCGGTCATCTTATTGTGATTCTCGGCCAAAATTAGAGGCATGTAGTGTCTACAACCAATCAGGTATTAAGAAGTTACCTAAGGAGAATATCCTGTGACTGAATTGAGGGGGCATTCTAATCAGACAGGCACAAGGAAAAGGTAAACTTGTTTAGACTCTCTAGAAATGCACATTTAGCAAAGAATTATCTTGTGCTTTAGATGATACCTAAAACTCTGTGAGCTGGAACATTACGATTTGAGGGAAATTATACTTACTCATTCATTTTTACTTTATTTCCCTGTTCAGCTATGTGAGTCAGCAAACATCACATCAATATGCTTCATAGATTTTAGGAATTGCATTTCCTCTGGAAATTAGGAACCTCAGGATAAAAATGTAGAGGAACATAAGTAACAGGAATTAGAAAGTTTTAGAGAGTCTACCCCTGAAAAATCTCGTTTTTTAATAATACATTTTTATATTTTTCAATGAAATTTTATACTTTGTGAGAAGACAAAAGAGTTGCTAAAACAAGGCTAACTGTAATACCATTTTTTCATGAAATGTCATGAATTTTGAATTAAGATGGACCTAAAATAAGGTTTTACTTTTCTCAAATAAATTATTAAAGTATAATTACACTAAATGTTATTATCAAGAGTTTTGTGAACTATAAAAGGATAATATGAAATAAATTTTCAGGATGTCTTTGAGGTAAACTCTTACCCTGTTCAGCTAGGACTGTCTCTTACACACACACACACACACACACACACACACATAGACACACACTCATTAATTGCTGGGCAAATTTTATTTCACACCCTCAAATTGACTTTATTTGGATTAAATTCATTTTGAGGAACTAAATTATTAGAATCAGCTGCCCAGGTCAGTTAACTCAGCTAGCTATTGGCCAGCTTGCTGAGTATACATGTTGCAGCTGAGGGTGAAAGTATCATTTAATACTGCTTAAAACTTTCTGATAGCTTCATATAGATATAAATTTAAACTCTTTATCATTGTTACAGTCTCTCATATTCTAGCCACTTCCTACCACTCTAACCTTAATACCTACTGATCTTCCTCATTTGCTCTCTTTTCAAAAAAATCCTTGAAACAATGTTTATAATATTTACAATGATGCACAGCACATCATAGGCACTGTGTAAATCTTTATGGAATGGAAAAGAAGGAAACGACTGAATTGATTAAAGATTAAGTATTTATTTCCTTTTGTATACTTTTTTGTTCTTATATATTTACTTCAACTTTTATTTTGAATTCGGATACATGCATAGTTTTGTTACATGGGTATACTCTGTAGTAACTCTAGTGTAGCTATTTTTTCTTATGTGAATAAATATATGTTATAATAGCTATTAATAGAAATAGGACTGCAATCTTGTAAGAAAATTTATTCTAAAATTTCTGTAAGTTGTTAAAGTGGTTTAGTATTTTAAATATTGGTATGCAAGTGACATTTATATAATAGTAAGATTAAGGACAGAATGAGATGAAAGAAACAGAGTGGGACATGCATAGCATTTTTCAGACTTGGATTCATCAACAAGTCACAACCTTTACAGCTTAATGTATTAACATACCTAAAAGGTAAGGTTATTAAAGTTAGAGTGTATTGTGTGGTTTTGAAGGGGAAAAAAAAAAGAAAAATGTCAACAAAAAGGACAACCTTGGATGGATACTGTCTTTGGTTGTCCACAGGAAAGGAAATCTTAGCTAATGGATCTCAAACTTACCAGCATTGATGACAGAGATAAATCTCAAGTGGAAATGTCTATAGGCCTTTTTAGGCTATAAAGGTTATAGAACCTGTGGCAAAATTATACTGTAACCTACAGCCATTAACATTTGACTTGTAGAAGTCTTTTTCTGAGTCAATGTCCTTTTTAGTGACCTTCTGATTTCTATGACTTCAGATTACAGTACAAACTTTCATTCATCTGATACTTTAAAAGTCTCTGCAAATACAATTTTTGATTTTAAATACAAATTGTTGCCTTTTAATATTTTTGGCTTCTCTATAGCTTGACTAAGGGGAATAATATGATTATGCCAATACAATTATTTACAATCTTTGACATTTATTTTTTTCTGTTTAAAATGAATAATCTGGTGTTCTGTTATCTGACTTAGTCTCAAGTGTATTTTAGTTTGCATTAGTCATTTTCTCAGCCCTGGTCAGTTCTGAGTCTTTGCAACACTATGTATTCAAAGAAAGAACTAGATAATAGCAAGTCCTAATAATAGTAAGACTTCAAAGAAAGGACTAGCTACTAGAAATACTTTAAATAAAAAAACAATATAAAAAGTCATTCTCCCCTCAGATAACAGCATCTTAAACCTTTCAAGAAGGTGTGAATAAGGTAGAGCAGGAGGTGCTAAGGAAGGAAGAGAGTGAATAACAATGATACCTAAACAGAAAAGACCAGCTTCAAATGAAACATTTCTTTAAATCCCTTGTTTCAAAATAGAAATTCATGCTTCTCATAAATTCTGTTTAGTAGTATCTTTATTTGAGATGCTTTTTTTCATAATAATAGGTTCCATTTATTGGTGCTTAGTATATACCAGGCACTATGTAAAGCGTTTACACATACCTTTTCATTCAATATTCTCAATTCAGTGAAGTGATACTCGAAGAGTCTAATTAATGGATAACTCTGAAGTGATAAGGTCAGTGTTTGAACCCAGGGTTATCTGATTCCATAGCTATGCTCTTAAACATGATCCTTCAGAATAATGTGCCAAGTTTATAAAATAGTTTTCTATATCCTCCAGATCACTATCATTAAAAGGGTATACAATACCTCATGTTTAGAGGATTGACTTAAATATTTAAATGGTAAATTCCTCTGCCCCATCCAGAGAGATTTGGAAGAGTTGATCTAGTGTGGTCCTAAAGGATGAATATTTGCAACCAGGAAGCTTGGTGATCATAATGCAGGTGACCAAGAGCTTCACTGTAAGAAATCATATGCTTGTAGATTTTTCTTCTACCTATTGCTGTATCAGCTATGCTCCCCACCTTGTCTTTTCTTTGTAAAGGAAAAATCAAGCTGTTACATCCTGAGACAAGTCTCACCTTACCCAGGAGGTGGCTAAAGTGCTAAGGAGGGAAGCAAATGAATGGCAGTGAGGCACAGCAATGTGTGTCTTACTTGCTCTTCTCACAAGACCCGTGATGAGTAGCTGGTTGCAAATTTATTTGAAAACTTTCCCTACCTTGGCAAGCACAAATGCCTTCTGGCTTACCACGTGAACAAATTCATAAAAAAGTATCTTTTCATAAAACATGGTGATTCTCTCCCTCGGGAAGGTAATATTGGTCTTTGGAGGAGAGTTGGAAAGCTGAGAATCTATGACCTAATGCAGTGAATGCTTTTTTTTTCCCCTAATTTCTTTGCTAAGTGGTCTTGAGAATTTTTTTTTTTGTTTAGAATAGGTATGTTTTTGTTTTTGTATATAAGTGTGGAAATTTGGCATAGAAATCCATCATAAAAGACCACCTACATTGCACATATTTTAATTAGGCACTTTTAACCATAATATACTTACGTTAAAATGACTTAACACTACAGTAGATATGTTGGAAATCAGCCAGGATGTTATAAATATTTTGGCAATATTTGAGCAGCCAAAGAAACGTCAACTTCTATTTGGAAAATTTAAAAATATCATTATAAATCCAGTTGAAAGCTTCTAACTGTAATCCTGTTGACCACTGACCTATAGCAACAACTTGTGTAAAAAATATGTTCCTCTGAGAGCCCAGAACTGGAACCAAGTTATTATGAAATTTACTTGAAAAAAATTCTCATTTCCTCATCTATAAAATTTATAAAACACCTAGATTTTGAAGAGTGACGGGGGAAAGCATAATATATGTGTTGGAATATTCAACCAAAAAGGGTTGCCAGCATTTAATTTTAGTTTTCTTCTCTTTATTCCTGAGTGAATTCAAAGGGCTATGGATATTCTGATTTATAAGGTGAGAATCGAGTTCAGGGGCCATTTTCCCCCAGAGTGTAGAAAATTTGTTGGATTAAGACCTTGAATATTGAGACCCCGAAAATGAATAATCCATGACTAATTTAAATTCTTTTCTTGTAGAGGCACTCATTTCTGGGCATGAATACAGAGTCACAATAGGTACCTATATATGTTAGAAAATGTCATTTGCCCCGTTGTTAAGGACTTATCTTCCACAGTGATATAATGTAATAGCAAGAAGCAAATGCTGTTAAAGCTTGATAAGACATGTTCTATAGAGGTGAAGCTAGATTTACCCTCTTTTTAGCAGACTATTTGGGAATGAGAAAGATGCTGAATTTCATGCTAATAGGGCAAAATGGTTTTGTTAACTTATCTGAAATAATACTGCATTTGGAATTCAAATATCTGGAACAAATATAGCCTTTGCCATTATAGTTCTAGAAAGCTAGCTATGGAAATGCAAGTAGAAAAAAATGCAAGGTTAGTCTTCATCAGAGTAACTGTGTTAATCTCACCTTGAAATGCAATAATGATAACGCTATTAAAATAATTAATCTGGAAAAGGTCTCTGGAGCCATACAATTTAGTTCAATAATAGCTTCGTTCCTGTTGGTTGTATCACATTCAACAAGTTATTTAACCTCTCTGCCCCAACTTCCTTATGTGTAAGCAAAGATAATGAGATCATTTATTTCACAATACTTTTATAAGATTATAGGAGTTTTGCATGCCAAGGGCTTTGGATTATTTTTGGCATAGAAAATTCCATCATTGCTGTGTATAGTTTGTTTCATTATTATTTTATTATCATTTCACTTATGAGTGTCCCTTTAGGGCATGCATATTAACATATCTGAAAAGTCCAATTCATCATGTAGGCAAATAATCTCTTAAGTATGCCAGATTTAGCATGTAAAATATAGGACACTTAGTTAAATATAAACTTTTGATAAACCATGAAAACATTTTCAGTATGTCTGAAATATTTGATGCATACCTATGCAATATTCTAGAAGCCTTTCAAACCTTTCAGAAAATATTGACTCCTTTTTTCTATAGTTCTAAAAAATGTTTCAAATTGTTTCTCCTTAACCTAGCTTGAAAGATAATATATGAGCTAGACACCATGACTAGGGACACAAAGTATTCCTTTTGACCAAGATTGAGTCCTGTCATAGTCAGTGTTACCTAGAAGTTGTAGAATATGGTAGAACATTATCTTCTAAACCAAGTCAAAGAGAAATAACGAGGGAAATCTGCTGAATCTACTGGTTAATAGAAGGAACCTTAATTTTAGGTGGTTGGAAATGTGTTAGAATATAACCCTGAGGCTGCCAGAAGAGAGACTGTGCAATAAAGGATAAGCAAAAACAATGCAGAAGAAAACAGAGCAATGGATGAAAGAGAGAAAGACAAAATTCGTTTCTCAGACATGCTCTGAATTCCTGCAGCCAGCTGACTAGATTTGATATACCATTGGCATTTTCAATTATGGAAACCATTAAATTCTCTCTTTTTTTTTTTTTTTTTTTTTTTTTTTGAGATGGAATGTCGCTCTGTCTCCCAGGCTGGAGTGCAATGGTGTGATCTTGGCTCACTGCAACCTCCACCTCATGGGTTCAAGTGATTCTCCTGCCTCAGCCTCCCAGGTAGCTGGGATTACAGGTGCCCGCCACACGCCCAGCTATTTTTTGTATTTTTAGTAGAGATGGGATTTCACCAGGTTGGCCAGGCTGGTCTCAAACTCCTGACCTCATGTGATACACCCGCCTCAGCCTCCCAAAGTGCTGTAATTACAGGCGTGAAGCGGGGCACAGTAAATTCTCTATTTTGTTAATACCAATTTGCATTCAATTCATCACAATCATGGCTGAAAGATTTCTGGCAAATAAATCAAATAAAAGGCCATCTATGAACCTTTGAAAATGCCAGAGTCCAAGGATAGCAGGTTACCTGGGGATAGGGAAGGATGATAGATATCAAAAATGCAAACTTCGTTACTTAGTAATTGTGCCTGATATCTTTCCTACATTAGAAGCTATACTATAAACTTCTCAACAGTTTTGTTATCTATTGCTGTTTAACAAACTATGCCAAAACTTAGCGGCTTAAAACAACAATTTATCACTTATTGTTCTATGGGTTGACCGGGCTTATCTGGTTGGTTCTCACTTAAGGTCTCCAAGCAGTTTCATTAAGATGGCAGATGGGACTATAGTCATCTGAAGGCTCTGGTGAGCTGGACATCCAAGATGGCTAACTCACATGGCTAGAAGTTGATACTTGATGTTGGCTGTGAGCCCAGGTGGAGGTGCCAACCCAAACACTATGTGGCTTGAGCTTCTCACAGCATGGAAGCTGGATTCATGGACAAGCATTCCAAGAGATCCAGACAGAAGCTGCAATGTTTCTTATAATTTACCCTCCAAGCCATGAGGCATCACTTCTGTGTTTCATTGGCCAAAATTAAATCATATGGCCATTATAGATATAAGGGGAGGGGACTACACTAGGGCATGAATACAAGAACACATGGTTTATGGATGGGGGGAAGGGAAGGGGGTGGGTACATCTCTGGCGACTCGCTACCACATTATGTTAATTAAAGTAGCCATTCCAATTACTATTCATATCAGAACACCTATCACAAAATGCAATTTCCTTACTTATTTGCTTCTGTATTTACTTTTCCCAGGAGAAGGTAAATTCTTTGAAGGCCCTGATGACATTTACTCTTTCCCCAATGCCCATTACAGTGCTTGCACATAGTAGCTGTTATTGAAAGAGTAAATACATCAACTAATAAATGAATGAATAATTATTTTTCTTGAAACCAAGTCTACTGGGCCTAGAAGATCATGCATACTCAACTTACTAAATCATTATTTTTATCATAGAAAAATGCTATTAGCCTGGAGATTTGAGTGCCTAAACAGGGAAGAATCAGTTGGCCTAGATACATTTGGAGAAATTATTTTGGTATAATATACATTTTGACAACATATTAAGAACTCAGAATAAAGCACTATTTTGTTAATCTATTTATATTTACCACTAAAATTGTGAGTGCTTTTTTTATTTCACCACTCTAATAATTTTAGGTTTGAAATGAATTAATCTACTATATTTATTACTTCAATCTCTGTAAGATTATCAGAAAAAGTTGGAGAGGCTCTCACAACCCAGATTGAAGGGGATTTGATAGGAGCTGGAGTATTAAGAATATAACAATTAATGACCATATGGGTCCTGCCCATTATTAATGTTCCATTAATAATAAGCATCAATAGTATAATTAATATTTAGTAATGATTTAAGAAATAAATGTAACTAGTTTGGTATGTGAGATGAAGCTGGAGACGTAGACTTTCTCTAGAAGGGCATTTAAACCAATTCATGTTATTTCAGTTTCACTTAAAACTAGCACGTTTATTTTCTCAAATAATCATCAGAAAAATTCTACAACAGCACATAGCCCTTAGAAACATTTTGATAATTTGAATTAGGCAAGTAACGGTTTTAGTTCCCTAGAAATACACATACTTTAAAGAATTAATGGATAACAACTTCTGGGGCAATTTGGGTTTGGATTTTTGTCAAATTTTCAGTGTTTGCAAAATTGTTTCAGGCATTTGATGTGTTCTAAACCTAGAACACAGTTTATGCTTTTTTTTTTCCCTACTTTCTCTTGGTTCGTGCTTCAAGAGTACTGAGTACAGTTGAAGCATCATTCTGTAATCCTCTCTTATGTCTCTAATATTTTATTAATAACGCAAGGAAGGAATTTTTGGGGGTTATCTTTCTGGTCATCTTCATGATTGCTATGCCCTTATGCAATAAGAAAATAATAGGGCTTTGCCTAGGTCTTTGTAAATACTAAATTAATTTCTACAATTCTGAAGACAGATGATCATGAGTATGAATCTCACCTCTGCTACTTAATATTTGAATGCTCTTCCCCAAGTGTTTTTATCTTTCTAAAACTCAGTTTTCTTATCCAAAAACTGGACTTCATAATAGCACTGTTTCTTATGGTTGTTGTAAGGATTAAATAAATTAACACCTGTAAAGTGTTTACAACAGCAGGGGACAGTAAGCACTATGTAATTGTAAGCAATTATGATTATGATTATTGTCCATTGATCCACATTCACAATCTTCTGAAGTAGTTAAAATATTATTATGTATTAGCCTGACACACACCCATAACTAGAAAAAAACAAGTTCAGAGAAACAGAATTGACCAGCTAAGAGCACACAGCTACTGAGTTGCAAATAAGTTTCAGCTTGAAGAGCTTACAATTTATAATTGGTGTGAAGAAACAGCAATTGTTTTCTGTGGAGATGCCAAATTCTTTTTCTATGTTCTCTGAATCCCAGGACAGTGTTCCCAGTAACATAGTATGATATGAGACACTTTCTTAATTCATGGAATCCAACTATATAAATTTTTCTTTTATTGAAAGTATAATTAGTAATAATTTTTAATTGTGTACCATTTCTTAGTGCTCCTGAGTTTGAGAGATATTGTAAAAAAAATTCTTAGTTCACATAAGATTAAATTTTGAGATGCAAGCTATTTTTGTTGTTTCTTCCTTTTATATTTGGTTTCTTTGTTTTAGTTTTATTTCGTGGCAGTGGTTTTTGAGTTGTAGTTTTCTTTCCTTTTACTACTAATAATTTATACTGACCTAGATAAAAGTTTTCTCTGTAGGTAGACAGACAGGCAGGCAGTAATTAGATATCTGACTGTATTAAGAACTACTTATATCAAAATGTGATTTACTGTACTTCTCAGATAAGAATTCCTCTTTGGTCTCTGGTGAGGTAGCAATTACCACATCATTTCCAAACTTCAACAGCTGATATGTGGAATTTGCAAGCATGCGTGCTGTGCAAGCATAAATTTGATGCCTGTGTTTAGACTCTTTATGACCATGTCGCAAATTCTGAGGCAGCATTTATGCAATGGAAAGTAAAGATATGACACAGAGACAACACACAAAAGAACTGCAGAGTTGATTTTTACACTAATGCTTCACTTTGTAAATAAGGAAAACTGAAATATCTTCAGCCCTATGGAGCTAACATTAAAAAAGATAAAATTAATGTACATGATTTGATTATTTTCTACTATACTAGGGATTAATATTGTGCCACATATGTTTCACTGAACCTAGTAATAAACAACTGTTACTTATTTACTTATTTGCTGTAAGTTCTTTCCCTGTATATGGGTGTGGTGCCACACAGTAGGCATGATGAGTTCCTGCCAATTGGTTAATAAGGTTAAAATGATTACTGTAAGTGTTTGAAATAAAAAGTTATAATCACTTAGGCACAGTGGGTTAAGGACATACTCCACTAAGAGAAAAAGTGCCTATATATTGAAATTATTAAAAAATATATTTTAACATTCCCTTTGTTTTAATAATTAATTTATTCATTTACAGGAAATACATTGATACTAAAGTACAATTTTATTCCTGTACCATTAGAAAATGTCACTTACCATAGAGGCAGGGAAAGGGAAAAGCACTATTTATAAGACTGTAAGTTTACATCTATAACAAAATATTTAATCTTCTTCAAAGAGAATCTGAATATGTGATTTTAATAGAAAATATTTTAACTTTGATTATTATACAATATGGAATTTAATAAGTTTGTCCACCAATTTCTATTTGTATTTAATATTTACCTGACTTCAGAGGCACAGTGACATGTATAAACATAAGAAATACAATGTGGATTTTATAGGCAAGATCCATCCTACTGTGCTTCTAAAATGACTCACAGAGAATATACTAAACAGTATCACAGATAAGTTAAGTGCAAACAGTGTAAAAAAGCTTGTTTATTATAGAAAAGTTGTCCAAAAGTCCTATTTTTTTTTTTTTCTTATCCAGCTTAGACTTCAGCATCCATCATTATATTCACTCTCTGGAAAATATGCTCGGCTACCTTGCCCACCCCCTCCCCCTATGTTTGCTACTTTTGCGAAACCTTAGCCAGGGTAAAACCTCACTACTGAATGTGACCAAGTGAAAACACAACTAAGGAGATTTATCTTACTTAAAATTGATGATCACAAGTTTCAAGTGGGAATACATTGTTCTCTTTCAGTCATACAAGGTATTCTCATATATATATATTCATATATATAGCCTCACCATATATATTCAATATATATTAAATATAATAAACAATATATATTAAATATATCAATATATTAAATATAATAAATATATATATTAAATATAATACATAATATATATTAAATATATTAATATATATTAGATACATTAAATAAAGGAGATATATATATATCCTTTCTTTTCTATTCAGACACTCCTCCCCAATCCTTGACTTAGCTATTGAGTTGTTTCTAGTTTATTGAGAAAAAAAAGTAATCAGAAAACATCTCTATAAACTTTGATTTTTAAGATTTTTTCCCATTCCTGTGAAAAATGCTGTTGGCATTTTGATAGGGATTATATTGAATCTCTAGATTGCCTTGTAGGTTTTAGTATATAGATCTTTCACCTCCTTGATTAAATTTATTCCTGAGCATTTTATTCTTTTTGATTCCATTATAAATGGAATTTTCTTAATTCTTATTCCATTTGCTGTTGCATATAAAACACAGATAATTTTCATATGTTAGCTTTGTATCTTGCAACTTCATTATACTTGTTAATTAGTTCTAAAAGTTGTTTTCCCTTTTGGATTTTGTATACATAAGATTATGTTCTCTGTGAACAGAGGTAATTTTACTTCTTTATTTTATATTTGGGTGTCCTTTCTTTTTCTGACCTAATTGCTCTGGATAGGACTTCTAGTACTATGTTGAATAGAAGTGGTAAGAATGAGCACCCTGGTCTTGTTTCTGATCTAGGGGGAAAAGCTTTCAATGTTTTACCATTGAATACAATCTTAGCTATGAGTTTTTCAGATGTGGCCTTTATTATGTCAAGGTGAATTCCTTCTATACCTAGTTTTTTGAGTATTTTATTGAAGATTTGTGCATCTGTTAATCAGGGACATTGTTCTGTAGTTTTCTTTTCTTATAGTGTCTTTGTTTGGCTTTGGTATCAGAATTAATATTCATATAGAACCACAAAATATCCCAAATTGCAAAAGCAATCTTGAGAAAAAAGTACAAAGTTGGAGGCATCATACTACCTGATTTCAAAATATATTACAAAGTTATACTAATTATAGTAATTAAACAGTACCGTATTGGTATAAAAACAGACATATTATAATGGAAGAGAATAGAGACCCTAGTAATAACCCCACAGATATACAGATATTTATCTTCCACCAAGGTGCCTGCCAAAAATACACAATAGGGAAAAATAGTCTCTTCAAAAAATGTTGAGAAAATGAATATTCACATGCAAAATAATAATATTGTTCTTTTATCTTACACCATACACAAAAATCAACTCAAAATGGGTTAAATACTTAAACTTAAAACCTGAAATTGTAAATATCTTAAAAGAAAACACAGAAAAATCTTCATGACATTGGTGTTGGCAGTGATTTCTTGAATATAATACCAACAGCGCAAGAAACAAAAGTAAAAATTAGGCAAATGGGACTACATAAAACTGAAAAGCTTCTGCACAGCATAGTAAACTATTAGGCTGGGCACAGTGGCTCACGCCTGTAATGCCAGCACTTTGGGAGGCCAAGATGGGTGGATCACTTGAGGTCAGGAGTTCAAGACCAGCCTGGCCAACATGATGAAACCCCGTCTCTACTAAAAATACAAAAATTATCCCGGTTTGGTGATGGGTGCCTGTAATTCAAGCTACTCAGGAGGCTGGGGCAGGAGAATCACTTAAACCCAGGAGGTGGAAGTTGCCATGAGCCGAGATTGTGCCACTGCGCTACAGCCTAGGTGACGGAGCAAGACTCCAAAAAAAAAAAAAAAAAAAAGGAGAAACAAAGAAAGAGACTATTAATAGTGAGAAGGCAAACTGTAACCTGGTTGAAATGGAGACAAATATTTACAAGCCATATATCTGATAAGGGGTTAATATCCAAAATATGCAAGGAACTCCTACAACTCAACAGAAAAAAAAAGGACCTGATTTTGAAATGGGCAAGTGATTTTAATTGACATTTAAAAAAATACATAGATGTCCCAAAAATATTTGAAAAGATGTTTAATGTCAGTAATCATTAGAAAAATGCAAATCAAAACTACAATGAAATATATCTTCACAACTATTAGGATGTCTATTATTAAAAAAATAGATATATCTATCTGTAGAAAATTATATATAGATAGATATGATCTATTCACTGGTTGTTTCCAGCTACTGACTATTAAAAAATATGAGTATTTGCCTATACAGTTTTTTTATTTTTCCATGGTAAATACCCAGCAGTGGGGTTGATGAATCATATGGCAAGTACCTTTTTCATTTTAAAAGATACTGTTCAACTGTTTTTTTTTGTTTGTTTGTTTGTTTGTTTTTGAGACGGAGTCTTGCTCTGTCGCCCAGGCTGGAGTGCAGTGGAGCAATTTCAGCTCACTGTAAGCTCCGCCTCCCGGGTTCACGCCATTCTCCTGCCTCAGCCTCCCGAGTGGCTGGGACTACAGGTGTGCACCACCACGCCCAGTTAATTTTTTGTATTTTTTAGTAGAGACAGGGTTTCACCATGTTAGCCAGGAACCGTGTTAGCCAGGATGGTCTTGATCTCCTGACCTCGTGATCCACCTGTCTCAGCCTCCCAAAGTGCTGGGATTACAGGCTTGAGCCACCGCGCCCGGCCCTTAACTGTTTTTGTGTTCCCAGTGCATCCTCATCAGCACTTGGTGTTAATACTATTTTTCATTTAGCCTTTCTTATGTGTGGAAGTATCAAATAATTGCTACAATTTGCATGTTTCTAATGGGGGATATGTAGAGCATTTTAAAAGAGCTTATTTGCAATGTATATATCATC
The DNA here is from genome assembly GCF_000001405.40 of Homo sapiens. Taxonomy (NCBI): domain Eukaryota; kingdom Metazoa; phylum Chordata; class Mammalia; order Primates; family Hominidae; genus Homo; species Homo sapiens. The sequence goes on along the minus strand of NC_000007.14, from coordinate 86,291,655 downwards.
TTTAATAAACTTTCTGTTCTTTTGCCCATTTTCAAATTTGATTATCTGATTTCATATCATTGAGTATAATGAATTCTTTACATATTTAGGTTAAAAATGTTTTGTCAAACATGTGATTTGCACATATAATTTTTATATTTTGTGGCTTGCATTTTTATTTGCTTAATAGTGCCTTTCACAGAGCAGGGTTTTGGATTTTTACTAAATTTATTTTACTGACTTTTTTCTTTTATAGATCATGTTTTTTTGTCATGAACATTTTGTTTAACCACAGATTAAAAAGATTTTCTCCATATTTTTATGTAGAAGTTTTATTTTACATTTCACATTTAGATACAGGATCCATTTTTCATAAATTTTTGTATGAAGTGTGAGTTAGTTCCAGGTTTAATTCTGCCTACTGATATTTAATAATTCCTACATCATTTGTTAAAAAGACTATCCTTCCTCTTTTACATTGCTTTTGCCCTTTTATTTAGAAAATTAGTTGACTATACTTGAGTGGATCTATATTATTAATTGATTCTCTAATGTGTTCCATTGATCTCTGTGTCTATCCATCCACCAATAATATACTTTCCTGATAATTGTAGGTTTATGGTAAAGAGGTTTTAGAATCAGATAGTGGAGTTCCTTCACCTTCATTTTTCTTTTACAAATTGTTTTACTATTCTAGTTTCTTTGCCTTTCTGTATACATTTTAAAATTGGCTTGTCTATAGCTACACAAACATCCTGCTGAGATTTTATATGACATGCAATAAATCTATAGATCAATTTGGAGAGAATTAACATCTCCCTATGCTAAGTTTACTGATTTATGACCATGGCCATATTTCTTATTATGGTCTTCTTTTATTTTTCATCAAAATTTGTAGTTTTCAGGATGTATATACTGTATGTGGTTTGATATCCTGTGTATGCTTTGATATACCTAAGTATTTAACTTTTTGAGGTATAATAAATGTCACTATATATTTAGTGTTTCTTTCTGATTATTTATTTCTCTTGTGCAAAAATACAGTTTTTTATGTGTGTTGACCTTGCATTCTATAACCTTGATAAATTCAATTTTTAGTTCTAGAAAACATTTGGAAACTCCTTGATATTTTCTGCATATGCAATCATGTAATCTGCAGATAGGCTCAGTTATAGTTGCCTGTATTTTATCTTCCAACCCTATTTCACTGGCTAGGTCTTCTGGTACTATGCTGAGTAGAAATAGTGTGTGCATTATGCCTTCTTCTTAATCTTAGGGTGGAAGTTTTTAGTCTTTAATCATTAAATATGATGTTTGCTATGGGTTTATTGTAGAAGTTCCTTATTAGATTAAGGATGGTATTATTCCTAGTTTTCTGAGTTTTTAAAAATAATTTTTAGGTGTTGGTTTTTGTCAAATAATTTTTTGTCAGTTAATGTATCATGAGGACTTTTTACACTTTAGATTTTCAGTATGATGGATTATAGTGCTTTGTTTTCAAATAGTGATTTTCAAATCCATCTTGTATTTCTGGAATGAAACTCCCTTGACTATGATGTAATATTATTTTTATATATTATAGAATTCTGCTAGATTTTTTTGAGAATACTTGCATTTATGTTTATGGGAGACATTTTTAAGGGTTTTCATGTTTTGTATTGTCTTTATCTGTTTTTGGTAATAAGGTAATTCTGGAATTATAATATGACTAGGAGATATTTCTTTCTATTCTGTTTCCTCAAATAAATTGGGTAGAATTGATGTTGTTTCTTGTTTAAATTTTTGGCAGAACTTACTAATAAAATTAACTATGGAAATGTATGTTTGAAAAAACTTAACTGGAAATTTATTTTTAATACTTATATACAATTTAGGTTATATCTTCTTGGATGAGTTTTGGTAACATCATTATTTTAAGTAATTGGTCCAATTTATCTAAGTTGTTGAAATTGTATGAATTGTTTGTAGTTTTTTCTTGTTATATTTTAATATCTATAGTGATATTTTCTTTTTTTTCTGATATTGCCTTGTGTCCCTTCTTTTTTCTTTGACAATCTTCTAGAAATTTTTATTCATCTTTAAAAAAAGCAGGTTTGGTTTCATTGATTTTCTTTATATATATTATTTTTGGGTTTTCAGTTTTATTATTTTTCTCTTATTATTTCTTTTTCTATTATTTATATCCTCGTTGCTTTGAGTTAATGTTTCTATTTTCCTAGGCTCTTTAGGTGGAAGCTTATAGCATTGTTTGGAAAGTATTCTTTCTTTTTAAAGAAATAGAGGCATTTAGTGTATACATATACATCTGTGCTTTATTTTAGTTGCATATCGCCTATTTTAAACATTGTATTATAATTTTAATTAGTAAAATGTATTTTCTTTTGACACATGCATCACTTAGAGGTATACTGTCTAGCGTTTGCAGATTTGTCTCTTTTTTTGTTACTGCCTTCTACTTTAATTCCAGTTGATCAGTGCTTATCATACTTTGCATGATTTTGATATTTTAAAATGTGTTAGATTGGTTTACAAAAGAGTGTCCTATATCTTGGTTAATGTTCCACTTACACTTGCAACAATGCATATTCTGCTGCTGTCTAATAGAGTGTTTCCACAAATCTTAATGAGATTTTTTGGCTGATAAAGTTGTTCAATCATTTTATATCCAGTCTCATTTTTTTTTATCCAGTTGCTCCATTGATTACCGAGAGCCCCAGTTTTCTCTGTTTCTTCATTTGTTTCCAGTTCACTGTGTTTCTATTTGTTACTGTACAATTTTTATAATTATTTTAATATATCTCTTTGAATTTTTTTTTCAGGGAGAGAAAGTGAGGCATTTATTGCAGGGCACCAAGCAAGGAGAATTGTGCAGTTCATCCTGAAGACCCAAACTCCCTGAAGTCTTACATGTAAGGCCTTTTTGAATTATTTTTCATTTTTTATTTTTTTAATTTCCATATTTTTTGGGGGAACAGTTGGTATTTGGTTACATGAGTAAGTTTTTTAGTGGTAATTTGTGAGATTTTGGTGCACCCATTACCCAAGCAGTATACAATGAACCCATTGTGTAGCATTTCATCCCTCACCCACTTCCTGCCCTTTCTCTGGAGTCCCCCAAGTCCATTGTATCATTCTATGCCTTTACATCCTCATCGCTTAGCTCCCACATATGAGTGAGAACATAATGATGTTTGGTTTTCCATTCCTGGGGTGCTTCATTAGAAGAACAATCTCCAATCCCATTCAGGTTGCTGTGAATGCTATTACTTCATTCCTTTTTTGGCTGAGAAACTGTGAGATATGTATGTGTGTGTGTGTGTGTATATATATACATATATATGTATATATGTATATATATCACATTTGATTATATATATATCACATTTGATTACATATATCACATTTGATTATATATATCACATTTGATTACATATATCACATTTGAATATATATATATATATATATATATATATATATATATCTATCTCAGTTTCTTTATCCACTTGATTGATGGGCATTTGGGCTGGTTCCATATTTTTGCAAATGTGAATTCTGCTGCTATAAACCTGTGTGCAAGTATGTTTTTTGTGTAATGAGTTATTTTCCTTTGGGTAGAAACCCAGTAGTGAAATTGCTCGATAGAATGGTAGTTCTACTTTTAGTTCCTTAAAGAATCTCCATACTGTTTTCTGTAGTGGCTGTACTAGTTTACATTCCCACCAGCAGTGTAAAAGTGTTCCCTTTTCACCACATCCATGCCAACATTTCTTTTTTTATTTTTTAATTATGGCCATTCTTGCAGGAGTAAGGTGGTATCACATGATGGTTTTGATTTGCATTTTGCTGATCATTAGTGATGTTGAGAATTTTTCCATGTATTTGTTGGCTATTTGTATATCTTGTTTTGAGAATTGTCTAAGCATGTCCTTAGTCTACTTTTGGATGGGATTTTTTTTTCTTGCTAATTTGTTTGAGTTTGTTGTAGATTCTGAATATTAGTCTTTTGGTGGATGTATAGATTGTGAAGATTTTCTCCCACTCTGTGGTTGGTGTGTTTAATCTGCTGACTGTTTCTTTTTCTGGGCAAAAGTTTTAAGTGACACTATTTCACAAGATAGAGAAATAGGAAATTCTCCCTAAATCATTCTATGAAGCCAGTATCACCTTAATACCCAAACCAAGAAAGGATATAATGAAAAAAGAAAACTACAGACCAATATCCCTGATGAACACAGATACAAAAATCTTAACAAAATACTAGCTATCTAAATCCAATAGCACATCAAAAAGATAATCCACCATAATCAAGTGGGGTTCATACCAGAGATGCAGGAATGGTTTAACATACACAAGTCAATAAATGTGATACACCACATAAACAGAATTAAAAACAAAAATCACATGATCATCTTAATAGTTGCATAAAAATCATTTGACAATATCCAGCGTTCATTTATGATTAAAATCCTCAGCAAAATCGGCATATAAGGGACATACCTCAATGTGATGAAAGCCATCTATAATACATCTATGATACAGCCAACATAATACTGAACAGGGAAAAGTTGAAAGCATTCCCTCTGAGAACTGGAACAAGACAAGGACACCCAATTTTCCCACGTCTATTCAACATGATACTGGAAGTCCTAGCTAGAGCAATCAGAAAAGAGAAAGAAATAAAGGATATCCAAATCAGTAAAGGGGGAGTCAAACTTTCACTGTTTGCTGTTGATATGATTGTATACCTAGAAAACCGTAAAGACTCCCCCAAAAAGCTCCTAGCTGATAAATGAATCCAGCAACATTTTTAGGATACAAAATTCATGTACACAAATCAGTAGTGCTGCTGTAGACTAACAGCGACCACTTTGGCTGTTGAGAATCAAATCAATAACTCAACCCCTTTTTACAATAGCTGCAAAAAAATAAAATACATAGGAATATACCTAACCAAGGAGGTGAAAGACCTCTAGAAGGAAACCTACAAAACGCTGCTGAAAGAAATTATAGATAACACAAATAAATGGAAACACATCCCATACTCAGGGATGGGTAGAATCAATGTTGTGAAAATGATCATACTGTGAAAAGAAATTTATAAATTATATGCAATTCCCATCAAAATACCACCAACATTTGTCACATAACTAGAAAAAACAATTCTAAAATTCATATGGAGCCAAAAAAGAGCTCGCATAGACAAAGCAAGACTAAGCAAAAAGAACAAATCTGGAGTCATCACATTACCTGATTTCAAACTATACTATAAGACCACAGTCACCAAAACAGCATAGTACTGATATAAAATTAGCCACATAGACCAATGAAACAGAATAGAGAACCCAGAAACAAACCCAAATACTTACAGCCTACTGATCTTCAACAAAGCAAACAAAAACATAAAGTGGGGAAAGGACAACCTGTTCAACAAATGGTGCTGGGATGATTGGCAAGCTACATGTAGGAGAATGAAACTGGGTCTTCATCTCTCACCTTATACAAAAGTCAACTACAGATGGATCAAGGACTTAAATCTAAGACCTGAATCTATAAAAATTCTAGAAGATAACATCGCAAAAACCCTTCTAGACATTGGCTCATGAAAAGACTTCATAACCAAGAATCCAAAAGCAAATGCAATAAAAAGAGAGACAAATAGGATTTAATTAAACTAAAGAACTTTTGTATAAATTTTTTAATAGTTACTCTAGGACAGAGGTTCTCAACCAAGGAAAATCCCCCCATTCCTTTAAGAAACATTTGATAATATTTGGAGATGTTTTTCATTTGTAACTGGGAAGTGGGTTGCTAATGACATCTATCTGGTTGTTAGAGGCCAGGCATATTGTCAGAAGCCTTACAATGTGCAGAACAGTTCTACACAACAGTTATCTGGCAGAAAATGTCATCCATACTAAATTGAGAAATTCTTTCGTGGGGAATATATATTTTACTTATCACAGTCTAATACTATCAATACTTCACCACTTTGAATAGAATGTAAGCACCTTACCATAACTATTCTCTCCCTTTCTGTTATGATTTTCTTATGTGTATTTTCTATACATACATTTGAACCAAATCAGATAATTTTGTCTGTTGTTTAGCTTGGAAACTTCTTATGAATATGTCTTCACATCCACTGATTTGCTTCTCTGTCATCTCCATTTTGCTATTGTGTCCATTCACAGAGTTCTGTAATTTGGTTATCATATAGTTTTATTTCTGAATTCCCAGTTTGTTCTTCATTATATACTTTTTTTCTGAACATTTTTATTTATCACTTGTTTCAAGGATGATTGCCATTGCTTGTTGGAATATTTTATAATAGCTGCTTGTATTTCCAACATTTCAGTCATCTTTCATTCCTTTTTCTTATTCTATTTGAGATTTTTCTTATTCTTACCCAGACCAACTTTGGATTGTATCTTGGACATTTTGAGTACTGTCATGAGACTGTTTCCTAATCAAATTCTTCTATTTCAGCAGGCATTTAACCTGTTTCAGTTCAGAACACTTGTCCTGGCCTAATTTGTGGGATTGTGGATAAAATGTCAATTATGTTTTCAAAGTCCTTGTTGTACTATTCTGATCTGTCCTGCTTATGTGCTATCCATAGGTCATTCAGAAACCCGTTGGGTATTCCACAATGTAGATCATTTCTCAAGGAATTGCTGTTTTGATTCTGCTCTGTTTCACACATCGACTGCCCGGGGTGTTTCATGCATTCATAACGCTGATTTAAAGAATCTCTTTACCTTTCTTCTTTTCTTCCCTCTTTAATTCTCCCTCTCCTTCCTAAATGGGAAAGCAAATCCTTGATTTTCATAATCATTGCCTTTAACCAACACTATTTTTGCTTGGAGCCATTTTATTTTAATATTCAATTTTGAATAAATATATTCCTATGTAACTGATATTACATTTGATGTTCCCATTTTAGATACTGACCAAGTGTCATCCCTATTTATTTCATCCTTTTAACTTTTTCAACCTCTTGCTGTATTTTTCCTATACAAATCTATTTCCCTTGAAGGCTTTGTTTTAGCATAGCCTTATTTGGTGAAAATATATAGCTGTCAAAATGAAATTTTTATCAATAAAGATTGTGAAGCTGGGCCAGGTACCTCCAAGTCACTCTTTACAGGCATACAGTTAATAGAAACAGACATAGGTGAAGTTTACTCAGAGTAAGGATATCACTAAAACTAAAGCAGAAAATATCAGTAGATTGTACAGTATTTGATAGCACTAAAAGGAGATATTATTAAAACTCAAACCTTCCATGAGATGAAATAAATAAACACTATAGGTAGAGCGATCCAGGTATCTTCTTGCAAAACTAGTAGATAGCAAAGATAACATGGGTGTTACAATTACAACATTTGAAATCACAGGGGTCTTTCACAATGATAATCTAATTTAATGCCTCAAAAGTGAGACTTTTAACAGGTGATTTAGATATATTATTATTTCATTCTTGTAGCACAATTTACAATATGTATATGTGATTTTACATGTTAACTTAGCACTCAAAAGCCATATTTCTTTTAGATCTTTTGCCTAAAGCAAACACTGCCATTAAATGAGTGGTAGGTAGCTGTCAGCATTCTGTGTATTTCAAACTTAATGAAAGGTATTTTATGAATCATTTTATTTATTTTCTTCCTAGGGAAGAAGGAAATGTGGGGTTTTCCAACTTTTGAGCTGAGGAGTACTTAGTACTACTAATAATGTATTATAGTTGTAAACATAATATGGTTTTCATTAAGAGATTTAAAATTATTAATGCAGACTGTGAATCAAGTCACCTTTTAAAAATTGTTCAAGGGTAGCAGACATATAAAAAAGTGAACATATTACAAACAAAGTAATTTTTACAAAATGAACACTTTCACTTTCCAGCCTCAAAATTAAAAAAATAGCATATTGCCAGTATCTTAGAAAGTATCATCATGTCTCCCCAAAAGTAACTATTACTGCCACTTCCAGTTATGCTTGGCTTTCAACCTTAAATAAATAAAAACATACAGTGTATACTCTGTTCTGTTTTTTCAAATTATGTTTGTGACATTTATTCATTTGGTTATATGCAGTAATATTCACTTATCATTACACCAACCATGGTATTGTATTCCATTGTGTAAGTATACTAAAATGTAATTATCTATTCTGTTGTTAATACACTTTTGGCTTATTTCTAATTTTCCTATATTACTAGTGGAACAATAAGCATGAATTGATTTTGGTGAATAAAGACATACATTTAGCTGAGTTTCTGTCTGAGAATGAAATTGTTAAACATAAGATATGTATTTGTTCAGCTCTAGTAGACACTGCCAAACAATTTAACAATTTTCCAAAATGAATGCACTAATGTATATTTCTACTATATAGAAAATTGTTGCTCCACATTCTTGCCAATACTTGGTATTATTTTCACTTTAAAATTTAACCATTTTGATTTTGCATGGTGGTACTTTATTAAATTTTTAATTATTATATCCCTGAAGACTAATGAAGTAGAGCAGCTATTGATATGTTTATTGGCTTTATACATGAACTCATTTGTAAGAGCATGTTCAAGTTTTTTTGCAGTTTTGTTAGGCTTGGCTCAATAATTTTTATTTGTAGTTTATGTTATGATTACTAGTCTTTGTCAAATATGTGTATTGTCCATTATTTCTTCCATTTTGTATCTTCTCACTTCCAAGAGATCTTTTAATAAGCAGAACTTTATTTTAATATAGTCTTATCTATCAAAATTTATTTTAAGGCTAAGCATTTATTTATGAACTTTATTTACTAAATTAAGATATATTTGCCTATCCAAGGTATATGAAATATTCCCTGATATTTTTATCATAAAGACATATTGCTAGAATTTTTATGTTATATTCAGAATTATTTTTATGTAAATTAAACTTTATATTTACTTTTTCATATGGATATTTGATTGACCTGGTACTGAGAGGTGACAGCGTGCTGGCAGCCCTCGCTCGCTCTTGGCACCTCCTGGGCCTTCGCACCCTCTCTGGCCACTCTTGAGGAGCCTTTCAGCCCGCTGCTGCACTGTGGGAACCACTCTCTGGGCTGGCCGAGGCCGGAGCCGGCTCCTTCTGCTTGCAGGGAGGTGTGGAGGGAGAGGCGCAGGCAGGTGGGAACCGAGGCTGCTCGCGGGCCAGCGTGAGCTGCCGGTGGGTGCAGTCTGGGTGGGCCCGCACTCGGAGGGGCCAGCCGGCGCCGTCGGCCCCAGGCAGTGAGGGGCTTAGCACCCAGGCCAGCAGCTGCGGAGGGTGTGCCAGGTCCTCCCAGCACTGCCAGCCTGCCCCGAGCTCGAATTCTCGCCAGGTGTCAGCTGCCTGCCCGCGGGGCAGGGCTCAGACCTACAGCCCACGTGGCCCAAGCCACTGCCCCCCTCCCCCACCCGCCCCTGTGGGCTCCCAGGCGCCGGAGCCTCCCTGATGGGAACCGCCCCCTGCTCCAGGGCGCCCAGTCCCATTGACCGCCCAAAGGCCGAGGAGTGCAGGTACAGGGGTGCGGGCCTGGCAGGCACGGGATCCACTAGGGGAAGATGATCCTTTCCCAAATGACCAGCATGTCACGTTTATTACAAAAACGGGGACCATGTATGTATGGTTGTGTTTCTCGATATTTCTTACATTATTCTATTTTCTATCTTTGCAATAAAGTTATAGTATTAATATGTGGTTGAATTAATTATTCAGGGCATTTATTCCTGTAAAACTTTTTATTGACTTTTTTTTTGCCCTACTTCGTAACTCTTTTAAAATAAATGTTAGAAAAAGATTATTTCTATCAAATATAAAGTGCTGGAATTTTTAATGCAGTTGCATCAGATGTATAGATAAATATCTTTATCATATTGAGTCTTCTCCATGATCATTATACTTAAGTATACATTAATTTAACTTAATATTATATTGAATACAGAGTATCTTGTATAATATATCTTTAAGCTTTGGATGATACTCTTACCCTAACGTGAAAGTTTATTTTATTCCCTGCTGGGCAGATGGGAATTACTGTTACAAATCTGGTTTGTGCTTTCAGGGAGACTTGGTCTAACTCTAGTTCATGCCTGCTCCTAAGATGTAGCCCTCCCAAAGTCTTACTGGAACTACTCGTTCAGTACTGAGCCTCAACTCTTTGTGCTTTCTCAGCACTATGAGCTTCCCATATCTTGCTTTGTACAGTTTATTAAGTGTTTCGGGCTCAAATTCCTGAATCTCATTTCACTCAAAAGTCTTAGCTTTCCCAAATTGCCTCAGTAGCCCTGAACTTTTACTTATTTTTTTTAGAACCCTGTGAGATTGTCAACATTTCTGCTAGTTTCCTTACCTCTCTGTCCAGCCTCTTTATCCAGAATCTCAGATGCTAACTGCGCCGACATCTCATAACATATGTTAAAAACATCCACTTTTCCCAATAATTTAAAGTGGTACATTATTATATAGTAAAATTTTATAGGCAATTTGGTGCCTTTCTAGTTTTACTATTCTGTTTTTCTGTGTTTAACTGCCATTCTTTTCAAGAAATTCTGAAATAATTTTTTGATGGTGAAATATATTGTTTAATAAAACTTTTTACAGTATTGAGTGAAACAATTTTTGTATTCTTTGATATTTTCTTTTGGGGTTAATATATAACCAATTTTCAATAATATTTGTGCTTAAAAACAAATTGCATTTCAATTTTTGCTTCAGAATTAAATTTATATACAAGTTGAGCATCCTTAATTCAAAAATCTAAAAGTTTATAATCAAATTTGCCTTATTAATTAAAAAATTGAAAAGTGCCTTTTTTTAATCATAGAGTAAATAATGCATTTCTGCTGGAGCCTTTTAGAAATGTGGAATATGTATCATATAGGATTAAAAAAAACTACAGCACTAGTATGAGAGAGTGGGGATTGAATCCTAGCTATAGCATATCACTTACTATTTTATAATCTGAGTAAGTTACTAAGTCTCTCTGGACCCTGGTTTCTTAAGATATATAACGTTGGAATATATTGTTTATTTTATTGTTGTGAGTAATGAATGAGATGATGTAAGTGAACTGTGCAGTATAGAACTTGATACATAGTATGCTTCTAACAAAGAGGCCTGTTAATAATAGTTTGCAATGTGTGGACCTATTGCTCAATTAGAGACAGTTTTTATTAGATCTCAGAACTTAAATTTTTAAACAATTTTCAACTGAACCAACTTGACAAATATAAACATTTTCAAACCATTATTTTTTTTCCTTTCCTTGATACCCAGCAATGCTCTTTTCACATTAGATATGTGAAATGATGATGCTGCATATTCTCACACATAATTGATTACTTAACCAACTGTTCTTTAAGGGCTTAATAACAAATAAGTGAGAGGTAAAAATCATTTTATATTTAAATTCCTTATATAATCATGATGTATATATTTTTCATTTTAATTTGAATGACACTCTCTAATAAAAAAGAATATACATGATTTTGTGGACCTTTTTACATATAAAATTTACGAAAGATTACTAGGCCCCATGCCATTAATAATCATCGACCAGAAAAAGAGAAAACATATTTTCAGTATAAAAAAGAATTATTATAAAATATTTTTTCTCCATTACTATGTTTATGGTGCAATGCTATTTGCATATGTGCCTCACTGTTAAATTTGGGGATGAGAGATAGACTCTAGCTAACTGACATTGAACTCTACCAGAAAGAAACCTTGTACAGCAATAGTAGAAAAGTTGAATGTCAAGATTTATTGATCCTATGTAGCAAATATGAGTTACACAAATTATTTGATCTCAAATTTAATTAATACACAAGTACAAAGGAATGCTGCAAGATTTTTCAATATAAAATAGATTATAGGATGCTTCAAACAAAATAATAGGAAGAGAAAAATAGAATGTTAAAGGTACATCAGATAAGAAGAAAAAAGGCAATACAAATAACCGAAAACACAAAAGGATGCTGCATCTCATTAATAGTGTCAAGTGAAATTTTCTGAATATTTTCATGTTTCTGCAGAATCAGATTTTTGTCAGCAAAAAAAAAAATGCTGGCAATCTGTGTGTGAACACTGAATGATAAACACAATTTTGAAGTTAGAGGCAGTGAATTGCTCCAAAAAGATTTTCTTATTTTTTAAATGATAATACATTTGATAACTAGATAATATGAATCAATTCCTTGAAAGATGCAATCTATCAAAACTCACACAGAAACAAATATATAACTTGAGTAGGACTATATCTATTCAAGACATTAAATGATTAATAACCTTTCAAAACAGAAAGCATCATGATGGTCCAGATAAGTTCATTGGTAAATTCCACCACACATTTAAAGAAGAAATTATACCAATTCTCTGAATTTTTTTTTTCTGGGAAATATAAGCAGAAGAAATTATTTCTAACTTATCCTACAAAGATAGCATTATCCTAAAGCAAAACCAGACAACTAACAAGAAAGGAAAATTACAGAAAAAAATGTCTCTCATAAGCAAAACTGTAAAAATCCTCAACAAAATATTAACAAATTATGTCCAAAAATGTATAAAAAGAATTTATATGCCATGAGAAACTTGGACTTATTCCAGGTATCTAAGGCTACTTTGACATTTGAATATCAATTAATGTAATCTGTCTCATAAACAGGCTGAAGAAGAAAAATCACAGGATCACATCAATAAATGCAGTAAAAGCTTTTTACAAAATCCAAAAAGAATGTATTTCACAAAATAATTCATGATGAAAACTCTCAGAAAACTAGGAATCAACATGAAGTTCCTCAATTTCATTTTTAAAAAATCGACAAAAACCCTATAGCTAATGTCGTACTTAATGGTGAGAAACTAGCTTTCTCTCTAAGATGGGGAACAATGCAAGGATATTCCCATTCACTACTCTTATTCAACATTATTCTGGAAGTCTAGCTAGTGCAAGAAGACAATAAAAGGAAATAAAGGGTATACAGGCAGAAATAAATAAAATATTTTTTCAAAGAGGACTTGATTATCTATGTAGATAATCTCAAAGAATCGACAAAATAACTCCCGGAAAACATAATCAGTTAGAGCAAGTTTGCAGGATACAAGTTAATACGTAAAAGTCAAATGATTTTCTATATGCCAGCAATGAACAATTGGAATTTGAAGTTAAAAACACAAATTATAATAAAAACCTATAGACCTCCCCTCCTACTCTACCTCTTTCTAGCGCAAAGATTACTCACTCATTCTGTCTTCAGAAGGGAGGATAGGCAAATGCACCAGCAACTTTTATATAAGCTCAGAATTTCATAATTTCAAAGTTTCTCTTCTGTGGTGCGTACTGTACCATGTGCGCTCCCTGATCCAGATATCTTTTTAGCCCCCAAATTAAGGTCCCATATTAGACACTTCAAATTGAACTGAAGTATTATGGCAAAGATAATGAGATATACTTGCCATAACATAGCCCTATTAAAGAAAAGATGAAGGCCCTGCATTCCAATGGGAATTGGTTGCAGACATGTTGACAAATTATTTGGTCATTCATTCCATAAATGGTCCTCTACTTTGTTGCCAGTAAGGAAAGATAGGATATTTGTTCAAAGGATACTGGGAAGTAAGGCTAAAACAAGCAGTCTATTTGGTACATTTTTTTTCTCTCTCTCTCTCCTCTAGTTGGTGGGCAAAATGGTCTAGGGATCCTGTGTTGACATTGGGTTTTGAATGGTTTGAAAAGAGTAGTTTGTTAGATCTCTTCTTCAGATAGCAGGAGGAAAAACCTAGGAATCCTGGAAGGTACCGTATTGCTTCGAGGGCATAAAAATCGCTGGTGCAGATACTTTCCACTCTTCCCTTGCTTCTTGTCACCCTCTACTCTGACCTCAGCTGCTGTAAAAATTAGGTGTGAGCCAAAGTTTTCCTATCCCCATGAGGGACTGGGAATCCTACATACACACCCAATCAGGGAGGGAAGGGATTCAAATGCATATAGCTGTTAAATACAGACACCAACATGACCATCATACTCAGTCTTTTTATAAAAGGATTAGACGAGATGAAAATGTTAAAACATCCTTTATTCATTTGGTCTAATTCTCTTTCTTATAGATAAGTACAGTTGACCCTTGAACAATGAAGGAGTTAGGGGTGTTGATCCCCCATGCATTTGAAAATCTGTATAACTTTTGACTACTCAAGAACATAAGCACTAAATTAACACATATCTTATATGTTATATGTATTATTACTGTATTCTCACTAAGTAAGCTAATGAAAAGAAAATATAATTCAGAAAATATATTTATTATTCATTAAGTGGAGGTGTATCATTAGGAGGTGTTTTTCCTCCTCTTCACATTGAATAGGCTGTGGAAAAGGAGAAAAAGAAGGGCTTGGCCTTTCTGTGTCAGGGGTGGCAGAAGAGGAAGAGGTGAAAGAGGTGAAATGGGAGGCAAGTGAGACCTGCACACTTTGTATAACTTTATGAAATACATAATAATTTCTGTTTGAATTTTCACTTTTTTATTTCTCTAAAACTGTTTCAATATGATACTAATCCTTCTTCCACCATTTAAGCAATGGGTGGTACTTTCAGTACCCATATCACAGAACAGTTCATGTCATAAAAGTCAAAAGAAGTCTTAAACAAAACCCTTCTGAGAGACTGTCTAACGTCAATTTGTTGTCTAGCACTGATTCTTCTACATCTTCTTCCTCATTGACTGGCACTGGTTCAGAAGCACTGATCTCCATGAAGTCATCTTCTGTTAATTGCTGTAGTGTGATGTCTATTAGTTCTTAAATTTCTCCAAGATCCGTATCTTGAAACCCTTCACCCCCCACCACCATATTTGCCATACCCACAATATCTTTTTATGATTTATTTGATTGTTTCTTTCATAAATCCTGTGAAGTCATGCACAACATCTGGACACAGTTTTTTCTCCACTAGGAATTTATTGTTTTGGGCTTGATGGCTTTCATGGCTTTTTATATAACAATAATGTCATCTTCAATGGTGTCATCTTTCCAAGTTTTGGTGACATTCTCTGTATCAGTGTTCCCTCGCGTAGCACTGGTAATCCTTTCCATAGAATACTGTGTGTAATGAGTCTTACAGCTTCCTATGACTTCCTGATTTAGAGATTGAATTAGAGATGTTGTGGTTGAGGGCAAGTAAACCACTTCAGCACTTTCAAGGTTGAACTCACGGGGTTCTGGGTGGCCAGGGGCATTGTCCAATATCAAAATAAATTCGCCTTAAATGGCAAGGGACTTCCTGACTTTAGGGATAAAACATTGATGGAACTAATCCAGAAAAAGAGTTATCATTGTCCATGGCTTTTTTTTTGTACAACCAGAAAACTGGCAGCTGATGTTTATTTTTTTCCTTTTAAGGCTCAGAGGTTAACAGCTTTATGCGGGAAGTCCTGATTATAAACCCAACTGCATTTGCACAAAAGAGCAGTTAGCCTATTCTTTCCTGACTTACATCTTGATGCTTATGTCTCTTCCTTACTAATAAATGTCCTTTGTGACATTTTTTTTTCCCACCAGAATAGGGTATTTTTATCTGCATTAAAAACCTGCTCAGGAAGATATCCTTTCTCCTCAACGATTTTCTTAATGGTGTCTGTGAACTCGCTGCCCTTTTGTTAAGCAGAAGCTGCTACTTCTGTTATCTTAATATTTTCTAAACCAAACATTTTTCTAAAATCATCAAACCATCCTTTGCTGGCACTAAATTATCTAACATTAGATCCTTCACCTTCCCGTTGCTTAAAGTTTTCATATAATGAGTGCTTTACTCAAATTGTATTAGAGTCATAGGTATGCCTTCCTTACAGCAATCTTGCATGCACATAAAACCTTCATTTTCAATACAAAGTAAAAAGGTATTTCTCAAAAAGTGCAAAGGTTTTTTGCCTGGAATAGTTGTAGCGATGACTTCACATTTTTTTATTTTTATTGATTGATTGATTGATTGATTGAGAGGGAGGCTTACTTTGTCGCCCAGGCTGGAGTGCAGTGGCGCAATCTCGGCTCACTGCAAGCTCCGCCTCCCGGGTTTACGCCATTCTCCTGCTTCAACCTCCCCAGTAGCTGGGACTACAGGTGCGTGCCACCACGCCCAGCTAATTTTTTTTTTTTTTTTTTTTGTATTTTTAGTAGAGACCGGGTTTCATTGTGTTAGCCAGGATGGTGTCGATCTTCTGACCTCGTGATCTGCCCGTCTCGGCCTCCCAAAGTACCGCGATTACAGGCTTGAGCCACCGCGCCCTGCCAACTTCATAGATTTTATTTTCTTTTCATTTGCAATGTTACTTATGCTGGATTCATTTATCTTGAAACAGCAGACTGCAAGTCCTCAGTCTACCACACAGCTGCAAGACCTCAATCTACCACACATATTAGTAACTGGACTTTTTCTTGTAATGTTATGACTGTTGTCTGTTTCTTGGGTGCACTTTCAGCTTTACTTTGTATGGGTACCCCAGTGTTATTCAAGCGCTAGAGTATTACACTAAACAGGATGAAAAATACGGGAAACCAGAGAAAGATCACTTTTGACTGCAATACGTAATTTGCTGGAGAGAAGAATCCTCCCCTGGAGTTGATTAGCATTTCACAGAACTTTAAGTGGATACTCACAGCACTTCAGCTCACTGCAAAGGCAGCAAGAGGTGGCTACAAAATTATTACAATAGTACAGTATGTACTACAGTTAGTTTTATCGAGTTATGGTTTAATACTGCATCTTTATGTTTGTTTTACATTTCTTTCCACTGAGAATGATGCCATGTAGTCTGTGTGTATATAAGTTCTAGAAAAGTTAATTTTTTTATAATAGATGTTTGTATAGTTTATAGTAGTAAATTATTAAATATACTATTATCTACATATATCTTATGCATTCATGACATACCTTTTTCTTAACTTTTTGATATTTCTAGACTGTGCGGTTGTCCATGAGTTTTTAAAATTTGTCACAAACCTCCAAATAATTTTCAATATAATTATTTTTAAAGGCCACATATAAGTGGACCTATGCAATTCAAATTTTTGTTGTTCAAAGGTCAACTGCAAATTGGAGTATAAGGATATCACTGTCTACTGAGGAAAGACATTAAAGTCTAATGAATGCCTTCTGTCTATCAAGCACTCTCCTAGAAGCTTTTCTATATCTTAAATAATTTTCTACCAGAATCAAGGTAGGACTTGAACCCAAATCTTTTCATCCCAGTTTTGAATTGTTTTTTATTTTCCATTCCAAGTTGCCTTTACCTCAGATACTGAATTAAGCTCTTGCTTTATGCTGCAAAACAATTTCGCTAATTTATGCCATCCCTTAGTGTTCATCAAAATGACCTCTTTTTCATCATTTTAAAAGACAAGGTTGATAAAGTGACTCCTGATGTTGATAATGAGGGCTGTAAAGAGTAGTGACTTTGGCATTCTGTACTGTATTGATTGTGCAGACAGCCCCTTTCACCTGGGAAGTGACCTCTGCAGGCCATTTCTCTCCCTCCCCTTGGGCAGTTCACTAATTTGAAGCCTCAAAGATTTCTGACCCTTGCTGTGCTTGATTAATGTGACAGTTGCTGAAAATCGCTTAATCATTCCAATGCCATTACTGGATAAATATTCTTTGCATTCAGCAGAAATACCTAGGTTTTAACGTGCTAACTGGTCAGATGGTTGTATTGAATTAAAAGAGTATAAGATAATCTTAAAGAAAAAGTCTGTTCAGAAAAGAGTATTATATAAAACACATCCCCAAATGTGCACATTTCAATCGTGCTCATGACTCCCTTAGTTTTGTTCTTTGTGTTCAGATTTTGTGTCTATAACATTTTTCTTTCTATTACTTTTTTTTAGTTTTTAATTATACTTCCTTGCAAATTTTTTAAAAAATTATCTTCTGTTAGGAAAGTAACACAATTTCTCCTTTTAAAAGACATTGTCTATCCAGGAACAAATAATCTAAAATGAAATAGTGTTAACTATCTCTGCCATTGTCCTATCCTCCATCCTACAATTTCTTATAGCCAATCGTACCCTGCTGGTAGGTCATTTGCTAATATCCCATCCCGATCACCCTACCTAGAAAAGTTTTACGTGGATAATAGTAAGGGCTTTTAAAAATTATTGAGTACTTCATATGTGACATATATTAACTTATTTTATCCTCAGAAGAGTCCTGTCATGTAGATATTAATTTTCTTCAAGTCTGCAGATGAGAAAACAGTGGGCATTCACTATAAAACCTGTCTCAACAGGATGTGGTCAACTAGCTATTGTCACAGTGGGAAACTGTGTTCTTGTTCCTTCTCCCCTCTCTCTCTGTGTTAAAATAGAAACATTTTAAAATCTCCAAATTAAACTCCCACATTCAAATGTAATACTGCAATTTAATACTGCATGTTTTAAAGTCAAACCTGGAGTCCTTGCACTCTGCTTATGACCTTGTTAATTTTGGGTAATCCTCCAGTCCTTACTTTTCTATCTCTAAAATGGGTACGATAACACCTATTACATTGACGTTGTGAGACTAATTGACATACTGAATGTAAAACTCCTGGGACAGCATCTGTCTTATATGAAATCTTACTTAAAATGTCTGTCTGTATGTAGATGTCACAAGTGCTCTTTGAAATTGGTCCTTACTGAAAATGTCAATCTGTAATATTCCACATTTTCAATAGAGCAACTATATTGATTCAACTACTTGTAAGAACACAAAGGATCTTGAATTTAATTAAAGACACTATAATGTTACAACAGACCAGAATTAAAAAGATTTTCAGGATGAGGAGAGTATTTGTACTTTGTTTAGAAATCTGTAATTATGTTGCTTGGGATCAAGAAGTGACAATATTAAAAGGGATGTCAAATAGTTGAGATGATGTGTCAGAAAGAAAAACCCATTTAATTCTTCTAGATTGGCTGTTCACTTAGGCAGTAATGGAATAAAACCTCAAGCATTATAGGGATAGAAAAGGCCTTAGAGATCACTTGGGTCGGCAGTTTTTAGACCTTTTCTGTTTTATCCAATTTAAATCATATGAAAGTTCAAAAACAAAATAGCTAAAAGCAAAGCTGTTCTATTAAAATAGAGGTCCCACTTGCCCTTGTTTGTTCCCTTATCTCCTTGAAACATTAAAAGTACATTGTTAGAGGTGTTTTCAAGAAAGCTCAAAGAATCCTTATTGCTTTAAAAAACTGATCTGGTGTAAGCCTCCATGTTAGATGTGGGAATGAATCCTGAGTCTACTTGGTGGTAGAGCAGGCATGCAAAGGGCACTAGTCCTCCCGGCTCTGTTCATTAGCCATGCCAGGTACTTCGATGCTTCTCTATTTCCTTCTGCTCCTACAGCACTCATTAAGTCATTCAGTGTGAATATTCTGGCCATATAAAGGTTAGGGAAATCATGAGAAAATCAAATCAAAGAACTTGCAAATTGGGAAAGCGAAAGTGAATGAGGAAGGGAGAAACTTTAAAAATTATTTCTGTGCACAGGGTTTAATTCAGTTCGATTCATAATGAGGATCTTGTTCTTGTACATCAAGCATCTCTGCACATTTATAGTTTTGTTCTTTTTCGTGCACAAATATATGAAACAATTATTGATATATTCCACATGTAATTTTGTATTTGGACTTGTAAGAATGAGGAAATTATTCATATCTTCAAACTAATATGTATGCTAATATGTGTTCTCCCTATATTAAAAACAATATTTTCTCTGAAGTAGTATTTTTTTGATCTTGTCATTTAACATTGAGAGTAATTCATGATTGAAGAACTCCATAATAGCAAAAATAGCAATATTTCCTCAAACCCTAGCGCTCATTTTTTGCAAGTAAAAACTGTTAAAAGCCTTATTTTTCTGTGTATCACTATATATAAGTGTCAAGCAACACTCTTTCTGTACACACATAAGTACACACAGTTGAAATCCTTGCCCCTTGAAAATCAATAGAAATGCTGATGTATTTCAGCCCGTCACAGTGGCTCACATCTGTAATCCCAGCACTTCAGGAGGCTGAGGCAGGCAGGATGGAGACCAGCTTGGCCAACATGGCGAAACCCTGTCTCTACTAAAAATACAAAAATTAGCCAGAGGTGGTGCACACCTCTAATCCGAGCTACTAGAGAGGCTGAGGCAGGAGAATCACTTGAATCTGGGAGGCAGAGTACAGTGAGCTGAGATTGCACCGCAGCACTTCAACCTGAGGGACAGAGCAAGACTCTGTCTCAAAAAAAAAAAAAAATGCTTATATATTTTGAAAGACTGCTATTGTCAGTAAGCAAAATCATTACAGGAAATTTGAGATAATTTATTTGAGCATAGATTAGTTTATTCTGTTTATCAAAATTGGGAGGAATAATGTTAATATATTTAACATATCCTAATGATTTCTCCCAGTTTAGGAAGTGCTAATGGATGCACAATGTACCACAAGTAGGCTACAACATAATTCATTAAATAAATTCGGGGGAATATCTTTTATATAAAGATAACACTAACTTCATGGAATGAATTGGGAAGTATTCTGTCCTTTTCAATTTTTGGAAAACATTATTAGAATTGGTGTTATTATTTTGTCTTAAATATTTGGAAGCATTTATCATTGAAGCTATCAAGTTTTTGTGTGTGTAGGGTGTGGGTAGGTGTTGGGGGAGATTTTAAACTATAAATTGGGTTCATTTAATAGGTATAGGGATATTCTGATTTTCTCTTGAGTGATATTTGATTGTGTTTTCATGGAATTTTTTATTTCATCTAAACTGTCAGGTTCATTTGTAGTTGCTCAAAATATTCCTTTAATTTAATTTTAATATAGGTGGAATTTGTAGTGCTGTCAAATATATGGGTGGAAATCATTGGTGAATACATCTTGGCCTAGTGCTTTTGTTTTTGAAGAGTTATTTATTATTCATTCAATTTCTTTATCAGAGATGGAGCTATGACAATTATCTTTTAACAAAATTTAAAAAATACATTTACCCTTGTAGTTACCAATTTTATGGCTCTTCATTACTTTTTGGCAACCCATATTTCAAATTTGTATTATTTTCATTCTTAATGAAAGGCCTCCTGTAATATTTCTTGTAGTGTCAATCTGGTAGTAATACTTTCTCCAGTTTTTGTAAATCCCAGATGCTTTCATTTGTCTGTGTTTTCTTATTATTTATTATTAGATTTTAGACTGAGAATATTTTTCTCTCACTACATTAAAGCTGTTTCTCCACTTTCTTTTTGCTTTTTTTCCCCAAATGAAAAATTTACTGTCTTCCTTACCTTAGTTTCTCTGAATATAATGTTTCTCTTTCTCTAGCTGCTTTTAACATATTTCTTTATCACTGATTTTGCACAATTGATCTTCATGTGCCTTCTTGTCGTTTTCTTCAGATTTCTTGTTTTGAGGAATCACTTATATTTTGGAGAAGTTTATTACTTTTTCAAACATTCAATATTAGGGGCTATCATTTTGTCAAATATGTTTTTCTGCCTTTGTCCTTCTTTTCTCCTTTGGGGACTTCTATCACACATATATTAGGCCACTTGAAGTTGTCCCATATTTTACCATTCTGCGGTCTCTTTTCTATTTTCTTTTCTCGGTGCTAAATTTTGGTTCATTTCCATTGCTATGTCTGTCCCAAGTTCACTAATCTTTCTTTTGGCAATGTCATATCTCTCATTAATCCAATCCAGTGTAATTTGAATCTCACACATTGTTGGTCTGGTTTCCAGGATGTAGATTTGGGTCTTTTTTTTTTATATGGCTCACGATGCTATATGAACATATGCACCCAAGTTACAGTAACTTATTTGATATCCTTTCTGCTAATTTCCATTATCTATGTCAATTTTGTATCATTCTTGATTGATGTTTTATCTCGCCTAACGCTCTACTGCATTTAATGGTCATTTCTTTAGTTTTTTACCCCTGTATTTCTAGGTGTTCAATATGTTTGCAACTTGTGATTTTTCAATTAATTAATTTAGGTCTTTTTTTGGTACTTCAAATTTATAAATTTCTACTCCATTCCCTCTGCTATAGTCTATCTCATATTCTTTCTATTCTTCCATCTGGAAACTACCACTAGAAATGTGTTGGTCCTTTTCATGTTTCTTTCTCTCTCCTTACTAGTTCTCATCTATCTTTCTGTGACTGACTAATGCATACTTCCTCATTTCTAACAGTTCTCTAATTTTCTTCAGTTCTTAATCTTCTTCCTATGATACTTATTTTTAAAAAATCACTATCTATATTTTTCATTTCTAGATATCCATTTTGTTCTTTTTTTGTAAAGTTTTAAAGTTTTATTATCTTTTGGAATTCCTATCCCATTTCCTGTTTGACCCATGGTTGGAATTTAAAATTTTCACAGGAGATGTTTTTATTTTTCTATATATACTATAGGGGAGAAAAAAATATATTTTCCCCATCCATCCTAGGTTTGTGACTAAGGCTTCTATAACGAAAGACAGATTGACAAGATAAAAGTAGAGATGTTTGTTTAATGGAAGTTTTATGTGATGAGGGAGCTGCCACGAGGAAATGAAGACCCAAAGAAATGATTAAGTCTGTGTATTTTCATGCTAGGTTTGATGAAAAGGAAACTGTCATGCAGAAATTTGATAGAATAAATGGGGTATGGTCTAATGCTAACAAACTGGGGAAAAGGCAACATCTGTTTGTTCAGATTCTTTTCCATGTCCCTCCATCTTCAGAGATATTTGATTTAGACTATGTGCTAAAATCAGACTCACTCATGGTCATTTCTGGACATTGACTGTACTTCACCTATTAATCTTGGATTAAATACACTTCTTTTGAGATTTATTCTTCTTCTGATTCAGTTTGCTATTTCAGCACCAGTTTTGTCATTTGCATTTTAAAGAGTCATACTTAACTCTCTCTTGGGTTTACTCTTTTAACATCAAAAGAGCCTGTTAGCTGATGAATAAGGTTAAATAGATAGATGTCATTTTAATTTTTTTATTATATTCTTATTCCAAAGAATACATTTCAAATTATTTTCTATAACCGTTGACATTGCTTCTGTAATGTTTCTCCTTGAATCCTGTAGAATTTTCTAGAGCTTTGGAAAATCACGTAAATTTTAGAAAGTCCCTCTGAACTTATGTAGAACTAAGCACTTATATATCTTTGATACACTCACTGATGGCAACTTATCTGACCTGAAGTTCTTAGTCAAATTGAGCCTTACTCTTGCATTCTTATCCTTTCCCAATTAATTTAGAAGATAACACTGTTCATTTCACAAACAAAAATGCCCTAATAAAGATAAAACTTTCTATTCTTAAAAGTTTAGCCTAAGTATTTTCTAATTCTCTTATAATTGCTAGAGTTGTATCATATACCACCTGCATAATTATTACCAAGAACGATTATATCATTGATAGACACTGAAGGGCAAGATAAAGGAATTTTCCTTTATGACAAAAGTTATGGAAGCTATGGAGGTGGCTATACAAAATACAAATTTGTCTATATACTTTTTGATGGTATTCTCATAATTTCCTAATTTTAAATTTCTTAAAGTAGACTTTTTGTGTGTATGTAGTTCGTTGATATGTATAGCGTTAAAGTTCTCCGACTTTAAAAACACAAGTGTCCTCCAGGAAAATTGTATCAACGAATATTCTCAACAGTATTCTATAATCACAATACCAGAAATTGTTTTATTATTACTTTCTAATCTTATTCATAGATAAGGTTCTGGGTTTCCTAAAAATGCACTTACCTTTAAATTTCAACAATTCAAAAATGTATAGTAAACTTTTTTTCTTCCCATCATCTGCTTTTCTGAACACATTGAATACAAATACGTTATTGGAAAATTATTATTATTTTTCATTCTTTTTTATTATACTTAAGTTATGGGATACATGTGCAGAACATGCAGATTTGTTACATAGGTATTCATGTGCCATGGTGGTTTGCTGCACCCATCAACCCGTCATCTACATTAGGTATTATTCCTAATACTATCACTCCTCTTGCCCCCCAACCCCCTGTCAGGCCCCAGTGTGTGATGCTTCCCTCCCTGTGCCGGTATGTTCTCATTGTTCAACTATCACTTATGAGTAAAAGCATGTAGTATTTGGTTTTCTGTTCCTGTGTTATTTTGCTGAGAATGATGGTTTCCAGCTTCATCCATGTCCTTGCAAAGGACATGAACTCATCCTTTTTATGGCTGCATAGTATTCCATGGTGTATATGTGCCACATTTTCTTTATCCAGTCTATCATTGATGGGCATTTGGGTTGGTTCCAAGTCTTTGCTATTGTGAATAGTGCTGCAGTAAACATACTTGTGCATGTATCTTTATAGTACAGTGATTTATAATCCTTTGGGTATATACCCAGAAATAAGATTGCTGGGTCAAATGGCATTTCTAGGTCTAGATCCTTGAGTAATCACTGTCTTCCACAATGGTTGAAATAATTTACACTCCCATCAACAGTGTAAAAGCACTCTTATTTCTCCAGATCCTCTCCAGCATCTGTTGTTTCCTGACCTTTTAGTGATTGCCATTCTAACTGGTGTGAGATGGTATCTCATTGTGGTTTTAATTTGCATTTCTCTAATGACCAGTGGTGATGAACTTTTTGTCATGTTTGTTGGCTGCATAAATGTCTTCTTTTGAAAAGTGTCTGTTCATATCCTTTGACAGCTTTTTGATGGGGTTGTTTTTTTTTTCTTGTTTAAATTCCTTGTAGATTATGGATTAGACCTTTGTCAGATGGGTAGATTGCAAAAATTTTCTCCCATTCTGTAGGTTGCCTGTTCATTCTGATGATAGTTTCTAAAATTAAAGTAAAGTAGAAGGCTTAAAAAGTTAACTAAATGTTGCATAATGTAGAAATAAAAATGACATCAAAAAAGGCCTAGCTGACAATCTAACACAGTATGTATAAAATGACACCCAAAGATGCATCATCACTTCAGGAAGATTTGAATAAATCAAAGAAGATAAAAGTGGACACAGGAAGACATAGTCATTTATATAAAAACAATAATCAGAATAAATAATATCAATTAGAAATTTATTAAAATGTTTTTAACCTATATATTCATAAGTTATAAATTTATTAATCATATATGTATTTAGAATAAGGATTTCAAACAGAAAAATCACAGAAAAATTACCTCTTTTATACCTTTCTATTAGGAAGTTGCTTGAAATTGTGCTCCAGCAAACTCAAAAGGTAAACCAAAAAATCCTAAGTGTGAAATCTAAGAGACATGTTTTTTAGAAAGAAAATGGATCCAAGCTAAGAAATTACAGAAATTCATATTGATAAGTTAAGGGTTAACATTATGAGCATATTATTTTGTGACATGACGGTGACTGCCAAGAAAAAAAAATCAAAGTGATCTAAAACAGTTACATGTTGACCTTTTATATTCAAAGTGGGGAGAAGTTAGGATGGAGTGAGGGATGGCTTTTTTTAAATTAATCTCCCAGAATGATATAATTTTTAATATGTTAATGTATTACTTTTAACTTAATGAATTAAATCTCAAGAATAAGCAATCGGTAATACTTTAATTGAAAATATTTATTAATATAAATGTGTTCCTAATAACAAATAAAAATGTACATCATGAAAATTCTTGATATCCTAAATCATAAATATATGTGTGCATATATATAACATTAGGAACTGTCTTATTTATCAACAAGCATAATCTTTTGAGGAACTCAAAAAATTTGTTGATCGAATGAATAAATCTAATTCTCTGAGAACTACATGGAGTTTTAGCTTAATGAATAGCAATATTCCTGACATGTTCTTGCTTAAAGAACAATATGCTTTCAAAAATTCTTGAGAATACATTGTGATCTGAGAAAAGTCATGGTGCCATGGTAGATCTTTATCATGGCACCAGAAATCTATGCTTTTGAGTTTCCGATGAAAGTTTTTTTAAATAAAACTTATGTCATCACTCCCCACTTCTGCCCAAACTCTTTTCCACTCTTGTTTACCTGGTTTTTAAATTAGCCTTTGAAAGCAGATAAAAATCAGAAATTTCCTCATTATGAGGCATAGATGGTGGCTTCATCCACACTGTCATTTAAACGATGGTAGGAAGTCCTACCTGCTTCTAAATATTGTCCCCCAACTAAGCCTATGTGAATCTGTATTTTAAAGAGAATAGTTTGAAAGTGAATAGCCATTTTAGGATGACATAGGCGACACTTTAGTCACTTCACATTATCCCAAATACAAAAATTTCTTCAGCAGATTAATCTGGTTAGGTAGAGCACAGTCTGATTTGATCTAATATACATAAAAGGGAAGTGATCAATAATGATTCTGTTGCCCAAAAACGAAGTCTAAGTATGGCATCCAATTAAGAACACAGAGATAGATAGATAGATAGATAGATAGATAGATAGATAGATAGATAGATATACAAGAAAAGAGGGAGATATGCTAAATTTCAAATTTCTCCAGGGCTCTGACATTTTCCCAGGGACCACGGGTAGAAGATTAAAAAGAAGAAAAAAAAAAACATTAACTGAATTTTCCTAAAAATATTTGGAGAAAATCAGTCCAAAGGTTGATTTTTGGAAGGGATACATTGCTTTGAGTTAAAAATCTCAGGATTCTCGGTTATTAGTACAGTGTTTCTGTGAAATGGAGATAAGTAAAGTTACACAAAACATCAGATTACAAGCCCTTCCCACATGGAACTATACAGCTTAATGATTCACCGTGCTTTGATGGCATAAGTTCTGTGGAAGGTAAGATTGCAAAGGCATCAGGTGTTGAAGATGGGGATTTCTAGGGTGCTCTATATCAAATTTTTGGGTTTTTTTAAACCAGAAATTGAAACTCTATGGCAATGTTAAAAGTAAGCTTGTTAGTGAGAGAAAAACACTCATGTCATTTTGGTTATTAAAAGAAAAATGTGATCCTAAACAAAACAAACATTTGCTATCAAGCTAATACATAATCAGCAGAATGAGTTATTTTAGCGTTTCTCAAAAGTTATATATGGTGTATTTCTCTACTTACATGCTTTTGCCATTAGTGTTAAACAAATTTCCATTTTACCAAAGAGTATTATCACCTTACTGTTAATATTTAGTTGTAGTGGAATTTAATTCCAAAAAGTCCAAAATGAGGAAAAATTCATTTTGTTTTCCACGAAATCATTCTTTGGCTCTGTTTCAGGATACAGGATTGCGAGTTTTTATTAATCAAGCATCAATGGCATAAGGTTTATGTTCAAAGCAATTTGATTAATTAGTTGTCTCAAAGTTTTTTATAGGCCAGTTTAGTAACCTTCCATCAAGTGTGTACATAATATTAATAAAAATGGTACTAATAAAATTCCTGAGTTTGGTAGTACAGCACACTCATATTTACAATGGGACACTTCATCATTTGTAAAGAATTAACATCATATAAGATGATGGATAATATAGACAAAATTACCTGGGGTAAAAGGAGTCAATAAATATTTAAAATTAGAACAATGTTAAAAATATGATAAGTGATTTTATCCCATAAAAGCCATAACAGAGATGTTTACAATCCTAAAGAGACCTTTCAAAAGTTGCTGTTATTTCTTTTTTATACATTCTTATATACCAAAGGAGAATGGGAGGTATATAAAATTATTTGAAAGTATTGTTAAACATATTCAGAGAGGGAGAATGCAATACTTCTTTACACAGTTTGAAATAGGAACTTGAGGAATTTGCTTTCTAAAACCAGTTAATTTTTTTGAGATTTTTTAAAAAGGAACCCATAGTTTTTTGACCAGTCTATACTTTATTATAACTTCATATAGTAAAATTAGTAGCTTTAGGAAGACGCCACTGCAACATTTTTAACATTTTTCAAGACTCCAAGAAACAACAACCATCCTTATATACAGCAGTCAACAATAAAAAAAAAAAACATAAGATTTTGGAAACAAAATCAGTTTTTTTTTAAACCCAGAAACATTAAATTCAATTCACTACTCCTATCCTGTGCTGCCTTAGTCATTCAAAAGGAGATGTGTGATCCATGACTAAGGACAAAACCACAGTGATGAATCTTTCTTCTCTGGTTCTCTCCTCATTCCCACAGCATCCAATGGCCATATGCTGATGTAAAGCATGTTACTTAAAATTTAGCAAGTATATGGGGGCCTTTCATAAAAGGAAATTAAGAAACTGCTATATTAAATGTCCACTTTTTGGCTAAGAATAAAGGACACTTATTCATCCAATTATATTGCAAGTATTTCTGTACAATAACATTTCTACATTTTTCGTATGTAATCTAAACATACTTTTATATCAATTTGGCCATTTTTAATTTGGTATGGCATAGCATCACTGACTAATAGTGCTTATGACCTGTATGAATGATCAACAATATTTTATCACCTTTTGTATTCAGGGTTTTATAGTACGTTGAGGCATATTGAAGAAAACACCAATGTTCCATCTGTGTTTCTTATTTGAATGCAGTTACCTTTTTTTTTCTCCATTCCAATCTCCTTTCCCTTAAGGAAATTATATGTCATTTTATCACTAGACCTTAAAAAATTATGTGAAATTCAGCCCGAAGCAAATTTTAGATTTATTAATTCACATAATAAAATCCATTTAACATCTACTATGTGCCCGATAGTTTTCTTGCCCAGGGGACTCAGTGGTGAGCAAGACAGGCAAACTTCTCTTGGGACTTCTGTTCTTGCCTTTTCAATCTGCATATTCAGTTTTCTTCTTAGCCAGAAAATTGCCTTCTATTATGTGTCTAAGGATTGCCTGCCCTTCATCCAATACTTTTCTCCTTCTAAAAGTCCTGATATTATAATATTAGATATTCTGAAATTTTTTCAAGTCTTGTATTTTCCTTCCTGCATTTTATATCACTTTATTTTTGCTTGATACTTTGAATTATTATTCTACTTGATTTTCTGGGACAAAGGAAAATCATCAGTTATGAACTTGTATTTGTTAGTTTAAAAAATAGAAATTTTTCCATCCCAGAATATGTGTTGGTGTGATGTAATGAGCCTCATTTTTTACAAGCAAGACAAAAATGACTTTATCCCTGGGGGCTAGGTGGGCAGTGGGAAAATCTGGAGGAACTTCTCTTTCCATTCTTTAAGTTCCTCAAGCTCCTCCAGACCCAACAGCAGAAGAAGAACCCAGCTGAGGCAATCAATTATTTCTCAGCTATGCGAGGTCAAGGAATAACAGACACACTCACACCCAGTCTAGGTTACCCTCCTGTTAATCACACTCTCCAGGTGCTTAGTAGACCTATGGGAGAAAAATCCATCAACTGCCTACTGAGACTTCCTCAGAGTTCAAGGCTGCCTTGCTCCCTAAACTGCTTGGCTTAGGAAGGAGGGTAGAGTAGTGTGTGTGGGGCTGAATGAACTTATGTGTAGCCCCATCTTCCCAGACCTCTCTGATGGAAACCACAGTGCTGTTTTTTAAAGGGATATATGATAATATAACTTATCTGTTTAAAACATATAAATAGAATCTCATTATTCTTAAAACTACTAAAAAATGATTGTCATGTCTTTATGTGATGAGAATACTGCTTGCTGCTAAACTACCTCTTCTGCCATGTCCCTCTCAGCCAATCACACTAAACAGACCACTTTCAGGACTCCATACTGCATTCCTTACCACCTCAGATCCCACTACTCCCTTTTTGTCTCCTCTTGGAATTTTCTGTTTCTTTCCACCTGGCAAATTCTTACTCACGATTTTATTTTTTCCTTCACCTTGTACTTGTTGACTCCCTATTATGTCTATGTCTGTGTGAAGCTTTCAATTTACCAGAAGCAACAGAAAAAAAAAAAAAACTACACAAATATATAAAATCCAAACTAACATAAATACAATAAAAAAAAACAAGAAGATACATTTTTTTCCAAGGACACATGCTTAATTGAATGAAGGGGCTGACATAGGAATTCCTGCTTGCCTGATTTCAAAAACTCTGGTCTCAGTCACAATATTTTTCTATATTTAATAATTAAAGGTATACTAGTTTAAGTACTTCCCATATTATCACCTTATTTTTAATGTTGCCTACTTAAGATATGTCCTGAACTGTGG
The DNA here is from genome assembly GCF_000001405.40 of Homo sapiens. Lineage (NCBI taxonomy): Eukaryota > Metazoa > Chordata > Mammalia > Primates > Hominidae > Homo > Homo sapiens. The sequence goes on along the minus strand of NC_000007.14, from coordinate 86,261,535 downwards.
ATAGTTATCAGTCAGGAAAACAACAACAACAACAACAACAACAACAACAACAACAACAAAAACAGCAAACAGAAATAGCAGGGTAGAAACAAAGTGGATTGCAACATTGTTCCCAATTTTTCCCAACTCTCTTTATCTACTCTGTCTGCCAAGCAACTTTGTAGTCCTGCCCACTACCGATATATTGCAGGGGTCCATAATCCCTGGGCTGCAGACCCGTCCATGGCCTGTTAGGAACTGGGCCACACAGGGGTGGCATTAGATTCTCACAGGAGCACTCACCCTATCATTGTTAGCTGTGCATGCAAATGATCTTGGTTGCCTGCTCCTTATGAGCCATCCCTTCCCCGTCCGTGGAAAAATTGTCTTCCGCGAAACTGGTCCTTGGTGCCAAAGTGTTGAGACTACTTTTTCTACCTCTCATGGATATACTAGATACACACAGTAATAAGTGATTTGTTATGAAGTATTTTTTGTGACCATAGTTGACAAATACAGTTGACATTTCAAATTTCTAAAAACCTATTTGTGTGATTTAATCTTTGATTTTAGTCCTTATTGTACCCCAGAAGGCCATTTAAATATATGTACAGAGTAGTCATTATCTCAGAAGTATTTCTTTTGTGTTAAATTGAAACGAAAATAAGTACAAATAACTTGTTTAATGTAACTATGGATCCACATTTTAAAATGTGACTAAAGTCAGTAATTTCAATTGAAATACCTCTTCTATATCGTAAAAGAGTAAGATTTGTTAACACTAGAAGGAAAAAAAATTAAAAGCAGCACACATATCCCATATTATGTAAACTTTAATGTTTAAGTATTGAGATGTAGAAAATGAAATTTATATCTCTGAATTTAGGAAAAATAACTGCATTAACTTGCGAAATTTAGGAAGACATTTGTATTTTTATTGACTCTACCATACTCCAATAGAAGTGAGGTTTGAATTTCAGAATTGTTTTTGATGGTTTGGCAGGAGTAGGAAAGTCACTGAACAATGTTCTCAATTTTAAGAATATTATAACAGAGTTGATGAGAAAGTTTAATGGATAATTAAAATGTAAAAGTCAAAACTCATTAAAATAGATTGATATGAATTTAACATGGTACCATTTCCACAGAGGGCAACAAACTTGCAATATGCTTACTTTTTTTTTTCTTTTTTCTTTCTTTATTTTAAATAGACAGATAAAATTTTATGTATTTACCAGGTACAACATGATGTTTTGAAGTATATATACATTGTAAAATGACTAATTCTAATTAATATGTGCATGACCTCACATAATTACTATTTTGTTGTGAGAATACTTTATAATTAACTCTCTTAGCATTTCTCAATGTATTTCCACAATACGCTGTGAACTATTATTGCCACGTTACAGTAGATCTGTTGAACTTATTTCTCCTACTTAACTTTAATTTGATAACATTTGTCCAACATCTCTCCAACCCACCTTCCCAGCCACCCAAGCTCCAGTAACCACCGTTTTACTGTCTGCTTCGGTGAGATCTACTTTTTTAGATTCCAAATATGAGTGAGATACATGGCATTTGTCTTTCTGTGCCTGGTCTATTTCACTTAGTATAATGTCCTCTAGGTTCATTGATGTTATTATAAATTACAGGTTTTTCTTTTTTCTATGGCTGAGTAGCATTCCAATGTGTATATACTACATGTTCTTTAGGGATTCATCTGTTGATAAACAGTTAAATCCTGTAGTTTTGCTACTGTGAATAATCTTATGATAAATATGGGAGGATAGATATCTTTAAGGTATACTGATTTCATTTCCTATGATTATATAACTAATAATTAGATTGGTAGGTCACATGGTAATTTTAATACTTAGAAGAAACTCTATACAGTTTTCTATAAAGGCTATGCTAATTTACATTCTCACTAATAGCATCCTCACCAACAAAGTTTACCTTTTGTCTTTTGGATAATAGCCATTGTAAAAAGTATGAGATAATCACTCTTTGTGTTTTTAATTTGCATTTTCCTGATTATTAGAAATTACATTTTTTCTATATCTATTGGCCATTTTTATGTCTTCTTTTGTGTACAAGTTTATGGGCTACATGTGAGATTGTGTTACATGTATTTCAGGTGTAATGATTAAGTCAGAGTACCTAGGATGTTTATCATCCAAGTACAAAACATGTTCCTTAAGCATAATTACCCTGCTCTGCTATCAAACATTAAATTTATTCCTTCTATCTTACTATATGTCTTCTTTTGAGAGATTTCTATTCATTTACTTTGCCAATTTTTAAATTATGTAATCTGCTTTCCTGCTATTGTGTTGTTTGGGTTCCTCATGTATTTTGGATACTAACCCCTTGTCAAATGTAGTTTATAACTATCTTCTCCCATTCTGTAGATTATCTCTTTACTCTGCTATTTATGTATTATTTATTTATTTATTGCTGTATGGAAGCTTTTTAGTTTGGTGTAATACTATTTGTGTATTTTGGCTCTTATTGCCTGTGTTTTGGGGATCTTATCAAAAAATTCATTCCCTACTCCAATGTCATGTAACTTTTCCCCTAAGTTTTCTTATAGTAGTTTCATAGTTTCAGGTCTTACATTTAAGTCTTTTTGTTGAGTTGAAATTTTTATATAGTGTGGGAAAGGGGTCTAATTTCATTCCTCTGCATGTGGATATCCAGTTCTCCCAATACCAATTATTGAAGAGACTGTTCTTTCCCTATTATGTATTCTTAGCACCTTTGTCATAAAACAGCTGGCTTTAAATGTATAGATTTATTTCTGGGCTCTCCATTCAGTTCAATTGGTCTATGTGTCTGTTTCCATGCCAGTAGTTTGCTGCTTTTTTACTATATCTTTGTAATATATTTTGAAGTCAGGCAGTGTGACACTTCCATCTTTGTTTATTTTACTCAAGATTGCTTTGATTATTCAGGGTCTTTTGTGGTTCCATACTAATTTTAGGAATTTTTTTTCTATTTCTGTGAAGAAGGTCACTAGTGTTTTGATAGGAATTGAGTTGAATCTGTAGATTGTATTGGCTAGCACAGTTTAACAATATTAATTTGTTCAGTCCATGAACACAGATGTATTCCCATTTTTTGTGTTTTCCTCATTGTCTTTCATCAACGATTTATAGTTTTCTGTGTAGAGGTCACCTCCTTGGTTAAATTTATTCCTAATTATTTTTGTACCTATTGTAAATGTGATTGTTTTCTTGATTTTTTAAAGATAGCTTGAGGTTAGTGTATAGAAACACTATTGATTGTTATTTTGGAATTTGTACCCTGAAACTTTACTGAATTTGTTTATTAGTTCTAATAGGTTTTTTTGGTCAAATCTTTAGCTGTTTTTGTTCCTGTTTTGTGACAGAGTTTCACTCTTGTTGCCCAGGCTGGAGTGCAATGGCATGATCTCAGCTCACCGCAACCTCCGCCTCCGGAGTTCAAGCTATTCTTCTGCCTCAGTCTCTTGAGGACCTGAGATTACAGGCATGTACCACCATGCCCGGATAATTTTGTATTTTTAGTAGAGACAGGGTTTCTCATTGTTTGTAAGGGGGTTTCTATGTATAAAGTCATACTGTCTGCAAACACAGACAATTTAACTTCTTTTTTTTTTTTTCTTCCATTTGGATGCCTTTTATTTTTTTCTGTTGCCTAATTGCCTGACTTGGACTCTAGTACTAGGTTGAATAGAGGTGGTGAGAGTGGGCATTCTTTTCTTGGTCCAGATCTTAGAAGAAAAGCTTTCAACTTTTCCCCCATTAAGAATGATGATAGCTATTGGTTTGTAATACATTACCTTAATTATGTTCAGGTACATTCCTTCTATACCTAATTTGTTGAGAGTTTTTGTCATGAATGTTGAGTTTTGTAACATACTTTTTCTTCATATATCCAGGTAATTGTATTGTTTTGTCCTTTGTTATGTGAATGTAATATATTATGTTTATTGACTTAGGTATGCTCAATAATTCTTACATCCCTGGGATAAATCCCACTTGATCTTGATTAATGAACTTTTACTACACTTGATCATAGACAAAGACCAAGAAGCAATAAATAATTTTTTAATAGGCTGTTGAATTACATCAGCTAGTATTTTGTTGCAAATTTTTGCATCTATGTTCATCAGAGATATTGGCCTTCAGTTTTCTTTTTGTGTTGTGTCCTTGTCTGGTTTTGCTATCAGGGTAATCTTGGCATTATGAAAATGAGTTTGAAAGTGTTTCTTTGTCTTCAATTTTTGTATCAGTTTGAGAATAACTAATATATATATTTTAAAATGTTTGGCAGCAGTCAAACCATTATGTTTTACACTTCTTTGATAGTAGGCTTTATATTACTGATTCAATCTCCTTATTAGTGTATTCAGGTTTTTAATTTTTATCATAATTCAATCTTGATATATTGTTTATGTCCAGAAATTTGTCTCTTCCATGTTATTCGACTCTATGTCTTTTGTTTGGAGAATTTAATCCATTTACATTTAGAGTAATGATTGGTAGGTAAGGACATACTTCTGCCATTTTATTTATTGTGTTTAGATGTTTTGTAGATGTTTTGTTTTTTTCTTCTCTTAATATCTTTCTTCGAGTTAAATAATTTTCTCTGGTGATATGTTTAGATTATTAGCCGGTTTTTGCACATATGTACTGTAAGTTTTGTTTTGTGCTCAACATGAAGTTTACAAAAAACCTTATAGTTACGACAGGTTATTTTTATTTTAGTTATTTATTTATTTATTATTATTATTATACTTTAAGTTTTAGGGTACATGTGCACAACGTGCAGGTTTGTTACATATGTATACATGTGCCATGTTGGTGTGCTGCACCCATTAACTCGTCATTTAGCATTAGGTATATCTCCTAATGCTATCCCTCCCCACACCCCCTACCCCACAACAGTCCCCGGTGTGTGGTGTTCCCCTTCCTGTATCCATGTGTTCTCATTGTTCACTTCCCACCTATGAGTGAGAACATGCAGTGTTTGGTTTTTTGTCCTTGCGATAGTTTGCTGAGAATGATAGTTTCCAGCTTCATCCATGTCCCTACAAAGGACATGAACTCATCATTTTTTATGGCTGCATAGTATTCCATGGTGTATATGTGCCACATTTTCTTAATCCAGTCAATCATTGTTGGACATTTGGGTTGGTTCCAAGTCTTTGCTATTGTGAATAATGCCGCAATAAACGTACTTGTGCATGTGTCTTTATAGCAGCATGATTTATAATCCTTTTGGTATATACCCAGTAATGGGATGGCTGGGTCAAATGGTATTTCTAGTTCTAGATCCCTGAGGAATCACCACACTGACTTCCACAATGGTTGAACGAGTTTACAGTCCCACCAACAGTGTAAAAGTGTTCCTATTTCTCCACATCCTCTCCAGCACCTGTTGTTTCCTGACTTTTTAATGAACGCTATTCTAACTGATGTGAGATGGTATCTCATTGTGGTTTTGATTTGCATTTCTCTGATGGCCAGTGATGATGAGCATTTTTTCATGTGTTTTTTGGCTGCATAAATATCTTCTTTTGAGAAGTGTCTGTTCATGTCCTTCGCCCACTTTTTGATGGGTTTGTTTGTTTTTTTCTTGTAAATTTGTTTGAGTTCATTGTAGACTCTGGATATTAGCCCTTTGTCAGATGAGTAGGTTGCAAAAATTTTCTCCCATTCTGTAGGTTGCCTGTTCACTCTGATGGTGGTTTCTTTTGCTGTGCAGAAGCTCTTTAGTTTAATTAGATCCCGTTTGTCAATTTTGGCTTTTGTTGCCATTGCTTTTGGTGTTTTAGACATGAAGTCCTTGACCATGCCTATGTCCTGAATGGCATTGCCTAGGTTTTCTTCTAGGATTTTTATGGTTTTAGGTCTAACATGTAAGTCTTTAATCCATATTGTATTAATTTTTGTATAAGGTATAAGGAAGGGGTCCAGTTTCAGCTTTCTGCATATGGCTAGCCAGTTTTCCCAGCACCATTTATTAAATAGGGAATCCTTTCCCCATTGCTTGTTTTTCTCAGGTTTGTCAAAGATCAGATAGTTGTAGATACGCGGCGTTATTTCTGAGGGCTCTGTTCTGTTCCATTGGTTTTTATGTCTGTTTTGGTACCAGTACCATGCTGTTTTGGTTACTGTAGCCTTGTAGTATAGTTTGAAGTCAGGTAGCATGATGCCTCCAGCTTTGTTCTTTTGGCTTAGGATTGATTTGGCAATGCAGGCTCTTTTTTGGTTCCATATGAAGTTTAAAGTAGTTTTTTCCAATTCTGTGAAGAAAGTCATTGGTAGCTTGATGGGGATGGCATTGAATCTATAAATTACCTTGGGCAGTATTGCCATTTTCATGATATTGATTCTTCCTACCCATGAGCATGGAATGTTCTTCCATTTGTTTGTATCCTCTTTGATTTCGTTGAGCAGTGGTTTGTAGTTCTCCTTGAAGAGGTCCTTCACCTCCCTTGTAAGTTGGATTCCTAGGTATTTTATTCTCTTTGAAGCAGTTGTGAATGGGAGTTCACTCATGATTTGGCTCTCTGTTTGTCTGTTATTGGTGTATAAGAATGCTTGTGATTTTTGCACATTGATTTTGTATCCTGAGACTTTGCTGAAGTTGCTTATCAGCTTAAGGAGATTTTGGGCTGAGACTATGGGGTTTTCTAGATATACAATCATGTCATCTGCAAACAGGGACAGTTTGACTTCCTCTTTCCTAACTGAATGCCCTTTATTTCCTTCTCCTGCCTGATTGCCCTGGCCAGAACTTCCAACACTATGTTGAAAAGAGTGGTGAGAGAGGGCATCCCTGTCTTGTGCCAGTTTTCAAAGAGAATGCTTCCAGTTTTTGTCCATTCAGTATGATATTGGCTGTGGGTTTGTCATAGATTGCTCTTATTATTTTTAGATAGCTCCCATCAATACCTAATTTATTGAGAGTTTTTAGCATGAAGGGTTGTTGAATTTTGTCAAAGGCCTTTTCTGCATCTATTGAGATAATCATGTGGTTTTTGTCTTTGGTTCTGTTTATATGCTGGATTACATTTATTGATTTGTGTATGTTGAACCAGCCTTGCATCCCAGGGATGAAGCCCACTTGATCATGGTGGATAAGCTTTTTGATGTGCTGCTGGATTCGGTTTGCCAGTATTTTATTGAGGATTTTTGCCTCGATGTTCATCAAGGATATTGGTCTAAAATTCTCTTTTTTTGTGTGTGTGTCTCTGCCAGGCTTTGGTATCAGGATGATGCTGGCCTCATAAAATGAGTTAGGGAGGATGCCCTCTTTTTCTATTGATTGGAATAGTTTCAGAAGGAATGGTAACGACAGGTTATTTTTAAGCTGATGACACCTTTGATCACAAAGAAACAAACAGGTAAAAAACTTTCTATACTTTAATCTTTCTCCCACACTTTGAAATTTTTGGTGTTATAATTTACTGCCTTTTATGCTATATATCCCTTAACAAATTATTGTAGCTATGATTTTTATAATGGTTTTGTCTTTTAACCTTTATACTGAAGACATATGTGATTTACACACCACTATTACAGTATTAAAGTATTCTGAGTTTAAAGAGTCAATTTAAGTTTAATACTTTCACATGTTTTCATGTTACTCACTCACATCCTTTCTTTCAATTTGAAGAACTCCCTTCAGAATTTCATTTCAATCAGGTTGGTGGTAATAAACTCCCTCAGTTTTGGTTTGCCTGGAAAAGTCTTTATCTCATCTTCATTTATTAAGACCAGTTTGGCTGGGTGCAGCATTCTTGGTTTAAAGTGTTTTTTTTTTTTTTTCCTCAGCACTTTGACAATTTAATAGGGACAATTTAAATTCCTTTTTCTCCAATTGGATGCCTTTTATTTTTTTCTCTTGCCTAATTGCCTGACTTGCACTCTAGTGCTATGTTGAATAGAAGTAGTGAGAGTGGGCATTCTTGTTTTGTTCCATATCTTTGAAGATAAGCTTTCAGCTTTTCTTCCTCCTGGCCTCTAAGGTTTCTGCTGTGAAGTGTGCCGGTACGCATATTGGAACTTCTTAACATATACTTTGCTTTATTTCTTTTGTTTCTTTAAGGATTCTCTCTTGTCTTTAACTTTGGACAGTTTGAATATGTCTTTGAATAGTCTTATTTCTATTAAATCTGATTGGCAGTATTTGCCCTTCATATACATAGATGTTTATCCCTTTCACCAGGTTTAGAAAGTTTTCTGCTACTATTTCTTTAAATAAGCTTTCTACTCCTTTATCTCTTTTTTTTTATTGAAACTTCATGACTTGAAAATTTAATCTTTTGATGCTATTCCATCATTTCTGTAAGCATTCTTTATCTTTTTTTTGCTTTTTTCTCTTCTGCCCGTATATTTTCAAATAACCTGTCTCAGAGTTTACAGTTCTTTCCCTTGCCTGATTATGTCTGCTATTGATGCTTTCTGTTACAGTTTTTATTTTATTCGTTGTAATTTTACCTCCAGGGTTTCTTTTTGATTTCTTTTATATTTCAATCTCTGTATCATATTTCTCATTCTGGTCACTTATTATTTTCCTCATTTCATTGAATTGTTTCTCCATATTTTCTTTAAGTTTGCTGAGCTTCCATAAAACAGTTGTTTTGAATTTTTGTCAGGCAGTTTATGCATTTCCAGTTTTTTAGGGTCAACCAGTGGCCCCTTATTTTGTCTTTTCTGTTATGTTATGTTTCCACAAGTGTTATTCATCCCTGTATTCATGTGTCAACATCTATACATTTGAAGAAGTTAGTTACTTACTCCAGTCTTTGCAGATTGGCTTTGTCTGAGAAAGCCTTGTGGGAGGCAGGGTGCTGGGGTAGGCCAGAAGCCCATGGAAGATGTGGCCAGCACAGTGCTGGGGCACACCTGAAGTCAGGGGCCATTGAGGCCTGCCTCCTGCTAAGGGCTTTCTGGAGCCTGGCGCTGCTTACAATGGCCCGGAAGTGGTATGAGCTTGAGATCAACTTCATAATGCAACCCTGAAACCTGAAGTAGTGTGGTTCTGCCTGGCACCAGGGTGGATATAGAAGCTCAGAAAGCAGATACCAGCTGCTTAAATCATATGAGGCATGGAAATATTCCTGGTGCTGGTGGGCCCAGTGGTAGGGTACCAGGTAAAGTCCTGTGCTCACTTGCCTTTTGTTCCTCCAAGTCGACAGTATCTCCCTGCACTGTGCTTCCTGGGCTTGGGGTAAAGGTGACACAGGTAATGCAAAACTGCCCTTCCTACACTCTTCAATGCATCTTTTCTTATAATTTTACTGCAACCAGGTACAATGACCTTTTGTCTGGTATCCTTACCTCTTGTGAGAGTATGTGTGGATACCTCCATTCAAGTTGTTCAAATTGATGTTTCTGTAGCTGGATAACTCCAGAGAATCTTATTCCTTCATCTGGCTCTTTCTGTCCCTGATATTTTCTGTCCTAAAATACACACACACGCACATAACTTTTGGTCCCTTTCCCTTTTCTTTCCAGCTATCACCCTTTTTCTCTACCCTTTTCAACTGGAAATCAGCTTAAAACAGTTTTTTAAATGAACTATTTGCATTTCTTTTCCTATTTTCCTTGAAGATATTACAATGAGAATTTCACTGCCAACTACTTCCATCAAAATCACCAGTAATTTTTACAATTCTAAACCCAATAGCAATCCTCAGTTTTAATCAATGTTTATATATCATCATGATTTTATGCAGTGATCATTCCCACTTCCTCAAAGTACTTCTTCGATTACTTTGCAGGACACTTCACTCTCATGGTGGTTTTCCTATTTTGTCAATAGCTACCCTGTTTTAGCTTTCTGACACCTCAATATTGTAGAATCTCTGGGCACAGAGGACAATTTATACCCTCATATAAATCCACTCCTTGACAATCATGGCTTTAAATATTATATACATGTCAATAACCTATAAAAATATTTCTCCAGCTTGGTCTTCTCTCCCAAATCCCTAAATTCCACACCTGCACAATACCACCTACTCAATATCTTTACCTGAATATTCAAAATGCATCTTCCACTTACTTTTCTTCAAATAAGACTTGTATCCACCAAGACTTTCTTTTCTTGAAATATTTTCCATCTTGATTATAGCTAAGCCATCCTTCTAGCTGCTTAGGCTAGAAGTCTTTTTATCATCATTTCTTCTTCTTTGTAACCAACTTTCAATTTGGTGCCAAATCCTATCAGATTTACTTTTAAAATGTGGTCAAAATTCATTAAATGAAGATAAAGAATTCTTCACTGAAAAAAAAAATAAAATATAGTCAAAATTTAGCTAACAGTTTACTATCTCCAACAGAGCAACATGATTTTAAGCCAACATCATTCCTACTGTAGATAATTGCAATGGCCTAATTTTGTCTTGTACTTACAATAATGACCCTCATTATATACTTTTTACCCAGCATTGATGAAAATACTTTCTATTTATCTATATATCTAGCTAGCTATAATTTATTAATCTATTTTGATTCTATCTAGCTATATATCTTTTGAAATATCTGTCCAATGTCAGTTTTATGCTCCAAAGGACATTAACGTCTTCCCATATCATTCAAAGAAGCAAAATTTATTGAAATAGTCCAGAAAGTCTTTCAACATCTATACCTTTCCCTTCCAACATTACCTAACTTCATGTCCTATTGCAATCCTTCTTATTTAATCTTCTCTAGTCTTACCAGATCATACCATCTAAACGTTTTTACATCTTCAGCTGTTTGTTTTGTTATCGACTAGAAAGCTCTTCTTAATAACACTCATGGTTTGCTCTCACTTCCTTATGATGTGTGCCCCAGAAACTTCCTCAGTGAGGCCTTTACCATGATCTTATTTAAAATTGAGCTCCCCATTCTATTTAACAATGCCCTTCTCTGTAGCTTGCTTTGTTTTCATTCATAGTTCTTACCAATATCTAACATCATGTCTTTTTACTTAATTTTTTTTTATTTTGTCTCTCTCCTTCCATGATAATCCAAAGGTAATAAGAGCAAGGATTTTAACTTTTCACTTTTGTGTTCTGTCTGTGGAGTATATCACTGAATAAATATTCAATTAATGAATGAATAAATAAATAAATGAACTTTTTGATCTTGTTTTGCTGAAATCATAGATGAATAAACTCACTAATTAGCGAAAACTGTCAGAGCAGATTCCAGTCTAACATAGGAGTAAGAGTACAGGCTTCCTAATCTTTAGATGTACTTATACCTTAATGTTTTATGATTCTGTGGACATGGTGCATGTATTACATGAGACAAAGAAATTATAGATGTGCTTACCTTCTCTTTCTTCACTTCCAGGTGGTGATAGTATAGGAAATACAATCGATGATGCAGAAAAATATCTCTGCCTCACCACAGCAGAGAAAATATCTCTGCCACACCACCCCAGAGTTTCTAGGGCACAGATCATAAGGAAGTGAGAGCAAACCATGAGTGTTATTGAGAAGAGCTTTCTAGTCGATAACAAAACAAACAGTTGAAGATGTAAAAACATTTAGATGGTTTGATCTGGTAAGACTAGAGAAGATTAAATAAGAAGGATTGCAATAGGACAGACAATGAACCATAGAGACCCAGCACACTCTAACGGATTGGGCATGTCTTCCTAAAACTTGAAGAGCTAAGTTCTATCCACCCTAAAGAACCCAAGCTGTGTGGGCCATTATGTACCTTTTAAAAAAAGTCATAGCCAACTGACAACCACACTCATTCATTTTGTATGTTAAATGTAAACGTTTGATGACAGAATGATTTGGCCTTGCAGGTAGTATTTGTGAGAATACCTCATATCACTGGGTTGCATTGTTGAAATTCTATTCCTGTCAAAAGCTATGTCCACATACCCTACAGTAAACGCTTTGGGGATTTATAAGGTTAACAGCTTCAATGTGGTTTTTATCTGCTGTGCAAAGAGAAAGATTTTAAACTGCTGGAGTACACAGGCTATAGATGCTGAAAAGTAAAAGCTGCAAAGACAGGTTGGGTGTGTGTGTCTGTGTGTGTGTTACAGGAAAGGGGACTAGAAAAAAGCATGAACATATACTTTTCTATCATTTTCAGTAAAAAATGTATAATATAATTTTCAGTAAAAAATGTATAATATGTGAACATTGACTTGACTATATATAGATTTTATATTTCCAGATATTTAAATTTATTTTACTTTTAATAATACCAATATTATGATATGGCTTTATTAAAAGGCTGAAGAAAAAGTATACCTGATGTTCTGTCAAGCCATGAGTGGATGAAAACTGTGTAATTGAGTAGATAAATATGGCAAAGACTGGAACGTTGCCATTGCTCACACAGAAGTACACAATGAAAGATTTTTCATTTCCATGTATTGTGAAATAACACATGTAACCATTATGAAGAGGAGCTAGTTGGTGCTAATACAGCCAGCCCTGTATTTAATGGTACATCTTATTTTTGCCTTGTCACCATGAAATATTTAACACCACAATACTCCAAAAAAAAAAAAAAAAACCACTAGTAACCAGAACTATTTAATATTCATGGAAAGAAGCAAATCTGAAATTTGAATGGTCATGAACCAGGAAAATATGTGTTAATTGTTGTGCCTTGCCTGTTAGTTTTTATATAAAAAATAACACATTCTTACTTAAGAATGAAAATGTTATATTTTGGACCTTAGTGTGATTGGTAGATAATAGAGAGGGAAGGTCAGATGGTGAAGTACTTGGTACGAGGTTAACGAACAAACAAAAAACCTAGGCCAAGAGATTTTGTACAACCAAACAGACTCCAGGGAATAAAGCAGCAAAGGATTAAATACAAAGGATAATTTAGAGAATAGCAGAAAATAGCACAATGAAAACATGATTAAAAATGCATATGCCCAACAGGTAGAAATACCACTGTGACTCAGGAAATAGGAAAGATGATAAAGAGTTAGTACAGATTAGTATGTTCCATGTAAGACATTAGGACCATTCCCAGTTGAACTTAGGCTAAAGAGATATTGATGTGTTACTGGGGAGAAGAAATTTTGAGTTCTTATTGTTAAACATGATCATGCTTTATGATATCTGAACCTAGAAAACTAAGTTCTTCTGATGAAATATTAATCAAAAGTGATAACTCTTTTCCATTCAACAAAGCAATTTTATATAGAATATGGAACCTCAGGTAATGTGCTTGGAAATGTGGTGTAATAAAATGTAGACTTACCAAAGGGCATGTATTGAGCTCATTGGGCTTCCTATGAATAGATTACATGATAAAGTTATTAAAATTGAGTCCTTAATGTGGGTTATCAGTATCAGAAATAATTTTGATAACCTTGTTCAGTCATTTTATATGGAGTATGATATCTTCGAAATATTCCAAATCTTTCTTGGTCAGTTGTTTTCTCCTATTCTGCATTTCAGAGTGAATTTCTATTATTCAAAATATATGCTACAGCAAAACTTAGAGAAGCCTCACTCATCTAAACTCCATGTTCTAAATTTATTTGGTTACTACTTAAAGATAATAAAGAAAGACCTACAGACTCATGTTCTGGTTGGAGTTAAAGACTTGATTTATACACTTATAAAAACCTTTATGTGCTGGGCTCTGGAAAAACAATGATGGATACAATAGATAACTTAGCAGCTTGTCCAGAACATTCAGTCTATTGAGGAATACAGAAAGGTGAATATATGATTATATTACACAGTTTTAATTGTTCAGGATAGAAAAGAGCAGAGGAGAAAGTAAAGCACAGAAAAATGGAAACAAAGCCAAATTGGAGTAGGCAAAGGGGAATAGACAGAGAGGCTTCCAGGACATGATGACTTACTGATAGTGAAATAAAGCACAACACTTACTGGGAAAGTCTCCTGGATAATAGTATGGCATATAAGATACCCCAGAGGCTAGTGAAGAATTTAAAGATTTGAAAGAATTCAAGCTTGAGGGTTTTTTTGTTTGTTTATTTGTCCAGATTTGTGTTTTTAATTTAAAATTGTTATTGCATTTTTCTTAAAAATGTGAGGGTTTTTTTGGTCACAGAATAATGAGAGCTGCAATATAAAAAGAGAGCAGAGATGTGGCTATTTATTCATGCATTGCACTTCTAAACAGTTCTGTATGTTTCAAAGATCTATCAAATAGGTCATCTCCTTTGATCTTCTTTAACACCACTGAAATAGGTGATGGAGTTACAATTACATTTTTTCACTGTTGCAGAAACTGAGGTTGGTAAGGAAGTGTTAGTATGGGAATTAAAATTAAAATCTTGATGTCTTAAATTTTGGTCAAGTTATTGTGCCATGTGGTCTTCTCCCCACTTGCCTTTCAGGGAAAGATAAAGAAATAATCCTAGTGTATTTAAATTCTCTTTTTGCCAGTGAAGTCATGACAAAATTGATTGCAATTTATTGGGACTACAAAAAAAATGGAGGAACTATATTTAAAGTTTCTCTTGAAAAACTGTCTTATATTCTACTCTATAGGAGTTTAAATGTGTTAACTGACAATATTTTATTGTATCATAAGGTAGTATGAAGGACAAATTCATGTTCAGTCCTTGAATTGGGAAAGATCTTTATTTTAAAAGCATAACCTATAATTTACATTTGATCTTGTTCTAGGATGAAGTAGTTATACAGCATTTTGTATACAATTAAGGCTGTAGAATAATTTCATTTTAGGTACTAGCAATTTGCAGAAAGGAAAAGGTGCCAGTTAAAGCCATACTGAGAAAGCCAATGACAAGTTGGCATAAAGAAGGAAAGTATTTTACACTTGAGGTAGAGAGTGATTACAGTTTGAAGATGATGCTAGATTGAGGCTATGGGAGAGATGAAATTAAGAGTAGTAAAAAGTTAATATATAATGTCATGATTTGGAATAGGAAACTAAATTACTAAATTAATGAAGTTTGACTACATTATCTATGTGAACAAGCCATGTAAATTGATCAGGTAATATTTTTATCTGTAAATTCCAGGGGAGGATGACATTCTTAATTATCTCACAGGGAAATTATGGAAATCATAAAGAAAACTCTTGGGACTGTTTTGAAATAGAATGTATTATGCAAACAATAAATGTTAAAGGGTCAAGAAGAGCTTAAATGAAGGATAGGGCAGTGATAAATAGCACTTTATGTGCACTAAAAAGTAAAATGGAAAATAAGATTTTTGTTAAAAATCTTAAAAGTTGACTTTTACATGGAGATTCAGTTTAGAAATTTTGGAAACCAAAATTTCATCTTAGTGCTTTAGAGCCTAGAAAATCATTACAATAAGATGTAGATCTTTCCAGACTCTTTTTTGTGTATATGATACATTTCATAACTTTAATTGTATTGTGAATTGTTGTACCCCTATTTTACCAGCATTTAAGTTGTTTCAGGTGGTTAAGGTCCACCTGTGAGTCCATTTACATATAAATTTATTTTGAATTTACTTGTATTTGTTAATTAAAGACATACTTTAGTGATTTAGTCATTGAACAATAATTAAAAATGTTTATTGAGTATTGTCACATATTTGGGGTTTGAAACAATAAAACTGACAGCTGCCTTCATTTAATTCATTAGCCTTTAATTTACAAAAGCAAATTAATGAATGTTGCAGCACTAATCACAGCATAGGTGTTTGTGACTCTTCCTAAGACAATGGCTTAATATATGCATACTTTCATGAGTTATTTGAGATAGTTTATTACAAGGGTTATGAGCAATTTTGCTCACAAGTGGGACCTTTACAGTCTAGGTTTGGTCACTTATCCAATATTCTCCACCGATACAGCTTCTGTTTAGCGTTTATTTCCCATGCCACTATTAATTTCCTCCTTTACCTGTGCTTTCTTCATCGTATTTACTGTAGAGAAACTCTACTTCTCAAATACTTTATTCAGTATTTGTAGCATTATTCTATTACACTGCTTATCTCACTATTCCCTATCGTCAAAACAACCCCTGGATTTTTCCAATGAACCTCGAAGTAACAGTATACTATTAAGATATATTTTCTTGTATCATCAGATATTTCTATCAACAACAAATACAACTTATTTACTTTAATTGAAATTTTTCTTTCTTTTCTAGCCCTCTTTGCTGTAGACTCCCATGCTAATTATAGGTTACACTTTGGCCACTGCCAATCAGCAGTGACTTTTTGAAAATGCTTACCATGCCCTTAATACCAGCATCTTTATATTTAGTGTTTTAGCAACAAACACTCAAAATACAATCCCTTCTCCTTAATGACTTCATCAGCAAATTCATAACTCCCATAGTCATCTCTAACTTGCCTAAATTCTTGGCAACTTCAATATCGGCAACCATGACCCCTGTGGTACCTAAGGTCAGACTTCCTCACTCAGTTCTACATATATTAATGTCATTTTTACACCACTTAATTTGCCCTCTATTAGGAATGGGCTGTGCTTTTCATCATGGATGGAAATGATCCATCTCAATGAGCTCATAGTTGGAGCAAAGCAAAATTATGTATTTATTGAAACTATTATTTACTTTCATTGTGACTTATAATCCTGTTTCTTTCAATTACTCAGTAATTAGCTTGGTGCCACATGATCTTATTGATTGGGTGATTGATTAAGTCATTTTGTTTGTTTGTTTGTTTTTTGAGATAGAGTCTTGCTCTGTTGCCCAGGCTGGAGTGCAGTCATGAGATCTCTGCTCACTGCAACTTCCACCTCCCAGATTCAAGTGATTCTCTTGCCTCGGCCTCCTGAATAGCTGGCATTACAGGTGCACACCCCCAACACAGGGCTAATTTGTGTATTTTTACTAGAGACAGGTTTTTGCCATGTTGGGCAGGCTGTTCTTTAACTCCTGGCCTTGAATGATCCACCCACCAATTCAGCCAATTATTATTAATTAATTGTTGCTGATAGACACTGTACTAGGTTGTTGGGATTTGAAGAATTTGAGGCAGAAACAAAAGTTTCTGAAAACATGGTGACTTCCTTTAGGAAATTTAGTTTCCCAAGTTTTAGCAAATATAGCTTATTTAGCTTGATACTAAGCATGAGAATGATGCAAAACAAAAGTGCAGTATGCCAGTGGAGGTGGCATAACAGTTGAACCTAAGGCCTTTGTCCTGAATACCAGAAAACTGTTTACGGAGAAGAAAATGGGGAATCTAGACATGTCGGTGTGGAACTGGAGAACTCTCATGCCCTGTAGACAGTCTAACACAAGTTTGACAAAGTACATCATGACTGGGGACAAGCAGTTTTTGCACCATGGCCTCTAGAAGTAGACGTCAGAATATTGCCCTACAAAGACTAATCAGAAAATCACATTTTAATATCACCGTCATGGGATACAGACTACACCAGTTACAGCACAGCATCGATGAGAGGGGAGCTGAAAAACAAAAGAAGATATAAGTTCCTCTTATCCCCTGCTACTATAAGAATGTTGATGGACTCAGTATGTCCTGACATATCTTGATAAAAATTACAACAGAATGAGGCATTTGAATGGCAGAATATGTCCTTGAAAGTGACTAAATCATTGAAAATAGAATTTTATAATTGTGAAGACTACGAAATCGTATATTGGCAGATTAAACTATTTTATATTAATATCTCCCCTTAAAACCTAGCAAGGTGGAAAACTATGAGTAAGTTTTTTTTATCTTTTATGGAAAATGAAAATTAAGCTTTCTGTGCATGTATAAGGAGTATTGTGAGTAAATTGGAAACTTTGCTATTAGTATATATTTTCTCTTTAATACATAAGATTCTCTGTACTGCGTGGACATCAGTAAAATGAGTATACGAGAAACATTTTCTAAGATACATCAGAACTTACATAATCAACTGTATATTGCCTTTTTAAGGCATCAGCTACCTGATACTTGTTCTCAGTGACTGATAGCTCTTGAGTAACAACTCACTTGGAATTAGCTATGAAGGCATTTTATAGGTGCCATAAGGACCATAGTTATATGGCTCTGTGGCCATATGTTGCATTTCCTATAATGTCATCTCTTTTAGAATAACTATCCACTAGTTTCTGCAGTCATGGGTATTTTTGGCTTGAAGGGAGAATTGGTGATATCCATCAACTATCACTTAGGAAATACAAACAGCTATGTTGGAAGGTTGGGGTTTGCAATGATGAAGATAAATTTTATCAGCACCATCAGCAGCAACATTGACAACAACACTGCTCCCATGAATTACAGACGTAATCAGTGCCAGGCACAGCACAAAACAATTTACATCTAATCTTCACAATGTACACAGAAATAGAAATGACTAATGCTGTTCATCACAAAGGAAATCAGAAATAGACAGAATAAATACTTGCTCAAGGTAACACAGGTTATAAGTGAGCCTCAGTGCTAATTCGGGCACACTGACCTCAGTTTCTGATTATGATAATTTAGTTTTTAAATTTGATATTGATATATAAGTGGATGTCTGAATTTGATAAATACACTGTAATATGATGCCAGAAAGTTTGTGAGGCTAAAGCAAATGGCATATCATTGCTTTTGTGGGAGTATCTTCTGAAAATATTTTAAACAAGTAATTGCCTTAATTTTTCAAGGAAATTTTGAATGTTCCAGAAGGAAATGCTATGGCTCTGTACCTTGAGGACTGTTAATGCCTTCTAGCTCGTGTTGAAATGACATAAAATGTTTTATAATGAGTTTTTTAAAAAACAAATCAAAACATCACAACAGCTGGCAATTATATCATAAAGAACCATGCAGGAAAAGAAAATTTTAGATAAAGCAAAACAATGTGATTGTGTTTTGAGAAGAATACAAGGAGAAGTGACTCAGGAATCCATTCCATGTGTTTTATTTATTTATATTAAAATTATATATGATATTTGCCACTTTTTGACACTGTAAAAATGTCAACAAATTTGTTATGAAATAAGAAAATGCAAATTGATGATTGGTTCATGTGAAAAATTCATTTGAAGAATAATCAAAGTAATATTTACAAATGCTTGAGAAAGCAGAAAGACTTTTAATGAAAAGTAGTTTCCTGCTTCATTCCCCTTTGAATTCTATATTTAAAAACTAAATGCTTAAATAACTAATTTTTGATTTCTTAATTTTCTCTCCTGTGATTAACATTTATTTTTCAAAGATCCTCAACTCCTTCACGCCCATCTTCAGAAATTAAATTGTCACTGTTTCTAGTTAAACCAGGACAAAATGTTTATTTTGTATCACAATGTAAATCATTTATCTGACAATTTACAGTCTTCTATAACTTTCATTAATCTCCTATATAGCTTCTTATCCCTGTGATTTCTTCCTTTCTCTTTTTTACCTTGCATTGACTGCCCTAAGTTGTTCCAAAAACTAAAAAAGAAAAAAGTGAAATCTTTTGAATACACTTCTCTTTCTTTTTTACTGAACACCTACCTCTGACCTGAAGATTGTAACACACCTGTTTCAATGCTCAATGTAGACTGATTTCCATCTTATTTAGGTCTGTTATAGAAACTGGAACTGTGATATCACTTCCTTTGTGATCTTCTCTCACATAGTTTATATCCTTATACTGCTAAGCATATCCGTAAGTAATTTCCTAGGACAGAATGTATAGAAGGAAGTTTTCTGATTCTTCTTGTGTCTGAAAATATTTTTATTCTGGCTAAAACTTAATTGAAGGTATTGAGTATTGAACACTTGGCTAAAATAATGTCTCAGAATGTAACAAACACCACTGCAGTGGCACCTGACATCTAGTGTTGCTGATGAGTATACTGATGCGAATTCAATTCTTATAATATTGCAGGTAGCTACTTCCTCAACAATTATATTTCTTCACTTTTCTTCGCCCTGTTAAATAAAAAAAAAACTTTAAACATTTTGTTATTTTGTTTATGCTATTTCACAATATATTATAGTGTCAGGGTTGATACATTTTTTTTTCATGAACTTTGGAATGTCCTTTCAATATGGGGGCATGATCGTTCATTTGCCCTTTTTGAACCTTTATTGAACATATGCTGGACACCTTAGACTGATTTTTATGTCCTTTATATCTTCCCTTATATTTATCCATTTGTGCTTTTATGCTCATAAAAGCATCTGTTATCCATGTATGCTTTTTTAAAAAATATTGTAGATTTTCCGCTTTCACTAATTTGTCTTCGGCATTTTCATTTATTTTCACTTTCTAACACCTACTGCTGTGTGCCTCTCCCCTTCTCCTTCTTTTTTCTCTCTGTCTCCCTCCCTCTTTATTTTTTCTCTCTCACACTTCTTATCTTTTAAATAGCATCACCCTTTGTGAATAATAGGTCTTTTCAAATCTCCCTGAAGATATTTGTTTGAGGAAGATTGTATTTGTGCATGTAATCTGTTCTTTCTATGCCATGTTTCAGGCTTTCCTTAAATGTGTGGTGATTTGTGACTTTCTGTTTATATTTAATGAGATAATAAAGGTCTCAGAACACTGTGTACTTCGGTGTGTCTTATTGATTAGAAAATTGATGCTTCCAAGTTTGAAGATGGATCTAGCTTTTGTGTAAGGGATGTCTAAATGACAGTACATGAAGAACTCTGCCTTCTCCCCAACCCAGGGGCTATTCACCGTGTTTCACTTTACCTGGAGGGCAGATTTAAGTTTTCTGCGTGAGAAGTTTGCATCAGTGTTGGGGGTGAGGGGTCTACTGTTCCAAATACCATTTCATTCATATTTATGTTTTCTCTCCTGTCTCACATTCTTCCTGACTTATTTCTGGTATTTTTGAATCCTGATCTCTGAGGTTATTGGGAGAATGCCTTGCTTTGGGCTCCATTCTCCTCTATAGGAACTTAGGCTGCGTTTTCCTTTGTCATCAATATTTGGTTAACATTCATTAGTCTGCAGTCTGGGACTTGGAATTGGTTGAAATGTTTTTCCTCCTAATGGCACCCCTTTTATTTTGTTTCTTGTGGAATTATACTCTTTTATTTAATTTCACTTTAATTGTGTCTTCAGAAAAAAAGTGATCAATTTATTTTTTAAACAAGAATTTTCAAACCTATCACTTTGCAAATAGTAGAAAGCTTGATCCTGGAACAATGTATATTTATGACTTTTCAGATCTAACATTACAATTGTCTAAATTATTTTTACTCCTCAAAATATACTTCAGTTCTTAGAGGAATATTAAACAGCACAATCATTAAATATGACTGGAACTGAAATACAATAGGCTCTTTATTTAAAAAGTTAAGGTATGATTGCTTACGTGTGTGTGTGTGCACACATGCTTAGGCTATCCCATGCTTATGGTTCTTCTGATAATATTTAGGATTAATATTTTAAAGCTGGAAGGAGTCTTCATAATTGTTTAGCTTTATGTCCTTATACTAGTGATAAAGGAATGGTGAATATTCGATAAGATGACTACTCCAATTCTAAAGACATTAATGATTATTCTAAAAGTTAGTTCTCTTCACTTTTTATTACATTTCACTTCATGAGAACATAAACATTGCCCAGATTTATCACGGTTTAATTCATTAATGGAAGTCTAAATAATCTCTGAAAATTTTAATAAATAATTAATCAATTTTAATTACTTTCTCTTTAGATATGATGAAAAAAGCACAAATCCATTGATGCATTTATTGATTAATTAAATAAGTATTTTGCATCTACTCTGAATCTGACTCAGTTATTAAGAATTACATATAATGGTAATGCCTGACTTAAGACCTATAAAAGTGTTATAAAATATTATGGAGGCTATGACAAATACATGTCTTGAGCATTAAGAAATAATAAAGGGAATGTTTAATTCTACATATTGTTTAGACTGGAAGTAACCCTTAATTTATTGACTCAAAAATACTTATTGTTAAAGGCTAGCATGAAAATTTGCTGTAACTTTTTATATCTTTAGTCACTTCCTAAATTAAGTATGTAGTTAATTTAGGAAGTAATGTGGTTAGACATAACATGCTACAAATATAAAAGAACTATTAAAGGCTTCATGTATACGTGGACTTTTCATTCCTTACAAGTTATATTTTGATTTAAATAAAAACATATACAGGACTGGGTGCAGTGGCCCACGCCTGTAATCCCAGCACTTTGGGAGGCCGAGGTGGGTGGATCACGAGGTCAGGAGTTCGAGAACAGCCTAACCAATATGGTGAAATCCCATCTCTACTAAAAAAAATACAAAAATTAGCCAGATTTGGTGGTGCACACCTGTAATCCCAGCCACTCAGGAGGCTGAGGCAGGAGAATCCTTAAACCTGGGAGGCGGAGGTTGCAGTGAGCCGGGATCATGCCACTCCACTCCAGCCTGGGTAACAGAGTGAGATTCCATCTCAAACAAACAAACAAAACAAAACAAACAAACAAAACGTATAGAAAAGTTGCAATAGTATTATAAAGAATACCAATATACGTTTCCTCAGATTTCTTAACTGTTTACATTTTGCTCTTTGGATTTAGCATTCTTTGTCTCTCTTGAGTCACTGGAGAGTAAATTTAGAAATATGCCCAGTTATCCCCCAAATTCTAGACATTTTCTTATATCATTACCTATCCACTGTACAATTACATAACTCACAAAACTTAACAATGATGTAGTACTATCATTTAATCTACAGTTTTCTTTCTCCCTTTTTCTTTCTATATATATAGGTGTGTTACACACATACAAAGATGGTGTTATATACATATATAGTAATAGCTAAATTAATATATAGTATATATTACTATATAGTACATATAGTAATAGTACATGCATATTTAGAGAGAGAGAAAGGTATTCAAATGGGATTTACAAGAAATCTAAAGTGCCATGAAATGTCACTATAATTTCTGTGAGAGATAGTGATAGTTGCCTTTTTGTTTGTTGGCTTTTTGTTTGTTTGTTTGTTTCTTTTTTAACTTGGAGTTCCATGTGATGTTAAAGTTTGTACTGATGGAGATTGACCAAGCAGCCTGGGTAGCAAGTTAATGAAAGTCATTCAGCACACATGGAAATGTACACTAAAACTGTGGTCATGTAGTTGTATCCATTCTCCGTGTTTTATATGAGGTGAAATTCCCAAAGAGACAGTTTGTAAGCTGTTCATTGCATGGAGGGGCCAATAATGTCAGCCTTTCCCTCTAGAGTTACCTTTCTCAATTTCTCCTTAATACATCAGATTGGCTTGTGGGTGGGAATAACCTTTACAAGTTAATAAGAAATAGGAGTTTGATTCTATATAATGTGTTTTCGCATGCCACAACTCACTTGCCATCCCCATTACTACCACATTTAGCTGCTTTTTAAAATAATTGCAAAACAAGGATTGTTAGGTCAGACATGAATTTTATTGTGATTTATTTATTTTTTTCTCATGTTACTTATGTCCTTTTGCTTTATATTTTATGAGTTTATGAATTTATGTAACATTTAGAGTTCTATATAGAGCTTTTTAAATATGAGTTTTGTTATGGAGGAAGAAAAGCTTAGGGTGAAAAGTTACAATCTTCTCAAGCATGGCCATACATTATTGCAATAAAAGACACAAAATTAGTTTGTCGTTGTAATGGAAGCTACTGAAAAAACTGGTAGAGGCAAGCAAAGGCAGATATACTTAGTAGTTTTGTCTTTATACATTTAAACAACAAGTCTGTTTTATAAAGACTACGTTGGCATATGTATTTATGGTGCCCCATCAATAGTAAGCTTCAGAAGAGGTTTCAACTCTTTAAAAAAAGTAAAGAACACTCTGGTGTTATAATGTAGAACTATTTTTCTTTAAAAAAAATTGTGTTGCAAATATCGTGTCAACAATTTTTAATAATAAAATTAAAATAAAATCTGAATAATACTACAAAAATAGGTAACTTTATTACTTTATCACTGAAGGATAAGTGTGAACAAACAGGACATAAATTCTCTGCCAAGCAAATAAATCTGATGATTTAATGAAGGAATATTTCAAAGCAGCATGATTTAGGTGAAATAAGAATTGCAGGAATTTTTTGTACTTTTTTCAGCATTTTGAGGTATAATGGACAAATTAAAAATTATATATATTCCAGGTAGACATTGTGATGATTTGACATGTGTATCCATAAACATATATGGTGTAATGATACCACAATCAAATTAACATGTTCATCACCACACACAGTTACCATTGTGTGTGTGTGTGTGTGTGTAGGCAGGGGGATGGTAAGGATACTTAAGATCTATTCTCTTAGCAAACTTTAAGTAAACAATACAGTATTATTTACTGTATTCAGGCTGCTGTACATTAGATCTCCAGAACTTATTCATCTTACTGCAGGAATTTTTTTCAAGGAAATAGTAGGCCAGATTTTGCTCAGTGCTTTGAAGATTAAGAATGAATTAAAAAACTAGTCTACTTAAGAGATATTTTCACCACATAAACCAGTTGAACTAATCTCTGCAAGGCCCTGGAGAAAATATTTTGACATTAAGTGAAAAGATCCTAGGATTTAAAAAGAACCTAAATCTTTGGGAAAATCACATTGCAAAAAAAAAAAAAAAAGTCGCACGGGGGTGATGGTGGGGTTGTATGTGATATTTTCCACCGCTACTTGGGTTTGAATGTGAGAAAGGAAATCAGTAGGTTTAAGTCTTTTTGAGAACTACCTAGAAGGACTGCAGAACAAAACTGAACGACATTCACTCAATTTCAAGACTTGGTGACTGTGACACTTTTATTGAATCTTCTGCTCAGCTGGAGGACTTGACTTTGAGAGAAGAGGATAGGTAAGCCGTAGTAAAATTATACTTCAGTTGAGGTTTACTGCTCCTTCCTAAGCAAGAAGTGAATTTCTTTTACAATTTATATAAAAGAAGAATATTTTGCCATTTATAAGAAAACAGTGAATATTTTACCACTGCTTCTAACTTCTTCACGTGTGAGCAAGCAGCTTTAACAAATATTTTCAGCAAAAGCAAAATATGTTTAATTTCAATTGAAAATAAATCCCTTACACTTATCTCAGCTTTGATGAGGGATTGACTATTTTGTGCAGGAAAACTCAAGCTCAGGTTTCACTTTGAATAAATTACTTCTTTCATTATTGGCATCAACAGTAGCACATTTCATGAATAAAAAGATGAAAAAACTAACACCTATATATGATAACTTTGTAATTACTATACTCATATATTAGCTCCTCTTATGTCAGTCAGTTAAAAAATATTTTTTCAAAGTCTTGTATAAATTTGTGTCTTAGACTAATTTGTGTTCACATTGTTTTAGATTATGGTTAAGTAAATGTACTACTCAACACAATAACATTAATGAAAATCAACATATATCATTTATTTAAGTTAAATATATTTAGCTTCCCTTTAAATTTTTAAATCTCTTTTTGCCTTATGACAGTAATTTAATAAGAACATTGTTTGCCGTATGTGTTTTTAAAATTTATACAAAGAAATTAAATTTAAGAAAGGTATGCTATGTTTATCTTTTTTTCAAGAATGGTTGGATCTAGTTTTAATGGAAGGAGGCATTGAAACTGCAGTTAAACAAGTCATTTACCATGTACTTCCTTTATTAGCATTTTGTATAGTGAAAATTTGGGGTAGTACTATAATACCTACCAAAAAGCAAAAAAAAAAAAAAAAGATTTATTAAAAAATATAAAAACTCTCATTTCCTTTACCTGCCTTACTTGACTTACATTCAAAGTGATGTAGTTTATGGAGAAGGGGAACTACACAAAGAGAGTTGGCTAATGATATGGCCCAATAAGCACATCCACCAAAAACAAAACCAAAAACATTCTCAACTTAAAATAGCATTGAAAGTTATTATTATAATATATCTAAATTTGCAGACCTCATTAAGTTACTAAGACCTATGGATATAATATTTTTTTGTGGAAAACTTACAAATTATTTCAAAGGCTTCTGCAGGGTAAAAAAAAAATTGAGAAATAGTGTTCTATCTTATAGATTACATAGATAAATATACAGATATACAAAAGACAGAAAGATAGATGAAAATTGTCTTTGTCTGATATGATGCCCCATCACCTCTAAAATACCCTAGTGTGCACCTTCTAAAAACAAGAATACTTTCCTACATACCACCTTCCATTTAGAAATGCTGTTTTCCAATCCACATACTCCATTTTAATTTTATCAATCATTGTATCAGTGTATATGTTTCATTTCACATCCAGATACCTGTCCAGGAAAACTGTTGCTTTTAATTTATATGCTTTATTAGTCTCCTTCAATGTGGAGCAGTTACTTTATCTCTCCTTGTCTCTTATGTCCTTAATAGTCTTTTGTTGTTATTCTCTGTAGCCTTGAAGGTTTGCAGGCTTTTCATTCTGTAAAATGACCATCTACCTAGGTCTGGAGGCTATTTTCCCATCCCTAGGCCCAGGTCTTCCAGTGTGAAAGCCATCATTGTGTAGAGAGATATTCCAATATGATACTAGTATATCATTCCTTGGCAAAACTTCAGTCACTGTTATGATTTTCTAATTATGAATATCTGTTAATACTTCTTTATTTTTAATTAATAGGAAAAAGAGCTTTCCTTTCTTCCTCATTTATTTATATATGTATAAACTCATTAACTTCTCTTCTATTAAATAGCCTATAGTGTGATATTCTCATTATTTATTTTGATGCTCAAACTGCCCTAGATTTTCTCAATTAAAAAAACATTCAAGCAGGCTCTTACTAGTTTTTTTGACATATCTCTATTCTTTGATCATGCCCTCACTTTCTGGTAATACAGTTTCCCTCTAGTCATAATATTTTCATCAATTAATTAATACATAATGTGGTTATGTATGTGTTTATGTGTAAAAACACCTTATTTGATATATAATTTTGGTTAACATTGAACTCACAACCAATAGCACTGTAACTCTTCCTTGAACAAAGCTTATCTAACAGGCACTTTCCCTGTAAGGCACATCAGATACTTCTCGCACTTAGGAAAACTAGATGACACTTCAGCACTATCCTTAGGGACCATTTAAAACAGCAAATGCATCAACTAAAAGCCCAAAAATGAGCTGTGGCACTCAATAGACCAAGAAAATAACATTTGTTTATACTGGAAGTGTTGAAACAAAAAAGCAGAACACTCCCTTGTTTGACCTTGGCTGGAAAAATGTACATTTGGCAACTACAATTTTTTGATGCTTTTCCCAATGCCTAAACATGCCAATGAAAGTGCTCTACTGATTTTGGGATTACAAATACATTTTAGTAAGTAAGTGAATATCGTAGATACAGAATACATGAATAATGAAGATTGACAGTATATGAAAAAATCATACCAATACTTACAATTCTAGTATAATACCTCATGGTTCTAACTAACCTCTCTTTCCACATTTCAAAATCATTTCTCAGCAAGTAAAATAATCTTAAATGTAATTATTCTTGATGTCTTGACTTATTTGCTTAATCAAAAAATTTATTTGGTCAACCTAATTACATTTTCAATCATTGTGCCTCCTCTGCCTGATTTTTTTTACCACCTTACTGCCTAGGATGTCAGGCCATGCTGTGGCTCCTTCTTTGGCCTCCTGCTCCCTATCAGTGTCATACTCACCAGAACATGTAACACTCCACTTCAAAGTCCAGCTTCCTTGCGTACCTGAGCTTAGATTCCTGGAGGAACCTCCTCCCTCTTTCTACCTGCTTTCTTGAACATAGATGACTGTGCTTAGGAGAGGAAAAAAGGAATGGAAGGCAAAGAAAGGGCAGATGGAAAAATTTAGGAAGAGAGAAAGGGAAGACTTGTACAAGTCTTTTTGTAGACATATATTTTATATATTTTAAATAGATAATTAACATAGGAATTTAACACAAGGATAAATAAATAGGAGTTTAACCTTATTAAAATAAAAACTTCCAATTACTTTTCTTTTTTTTTTCTATAATACTTTAAGTTCTTGGGTACATGTGCACAATATGCAGGTTTGTTACATATGTATACATGTGCCATGTTGGTGTGCTGCACCCATTAAGTCGACATTTACATTAGGTATATCTCCTAATGTGTTCCCTTCCCGCTTCCCCCACCCCACAACAGGCACCAGTGTGTGATGTTCCCCTTCCTGTGTCCAAGTGTTCTCATTGTTCAATTCCCACCTATGAGTCAGAACATGTGGTGTTTGGTTTTCTCTTTTGCTATAGTTTGCTGAGAATGATGGCTTCCAGCTTCATCCCTGTGCCTACAAAGGACATGAACTCATCATTTTTTAAGGCTGCATAGTATTCCATGGTGTATATGTACCACATTTTCTTAATCCAGTCTATCATTGATAGATATTTGGGTTGGTTCCAAGTCTTTGCTATAGTGAATAGTGCTGCAATAAACATATGTGTGCATGTGTCTTTATAGCAGGATGATTTATAATCTTTTGGGTATATACCCAGTAAAGGGATGGCTGGGTCAAATGGTATTTCTAGTTCTAGATCCTTGAGGAAACACCACACTGTCTTTCACAATGGTTGAACTAGTTTACAGTCCCACCAACAGTGTAAAAGTGTTCCTATTTCTCCACATCCTCTCCAGCACCTGTTGTTTCCTGACTTTTTAATGATTGCCATTCTAACTAGTGTAAGATGGTATGTCTTTGTGGTTTTGATTTGCATTTCTCTGATGGCCAGTGATGATGAGCATTTTTTCATGTGTCTGTTGGCTTCATAAATGTCTTCTTTTGAGAACTGTCTGTTCATATCCTTCACGCACTTGTTGATGGGGTTGTTTGTTATTTTCTTGTAAATTTGTTTGAGTTCTTTGTAGATTCTCGATATTAGCCCTTTGTCAGATGAGTAGATTGCAAAAATGTTCTCCCATTCTGTAGGTTGCCTGTTCACTCTGGTGGTAGTTTCTTTTGCTGTGCAGAAGCTCTTTAGTTTAAATAGATCCCATTTGTCGATTTTGGCTTTTGTTGCCATTGCTTTTGGTGTTTTAGTCATGAAGTCCTTGCCCATGCCTGTGTCCTGAATGGTAATGCCTAGGTTTTCTTCTAGGGTTTTTATGGTTTTAGGTCTAACATTTAAGTCTTTAATCCATCTTGAATTAATTTTTGTATAAGGTGTAAGGAAGGGATCCAGTTTCAGCTTTCTACATATGGCTAGCCAGTTTTCCCAGCACCATTTATTAAATAGGGAATCCTTCCCCCATTTCTTGTTTTTGTCAGGTTTGTCAAAGACCAGATGGTTGTAG
Organism: Homo sapiens; assembly: GCF_000001405.40. Lineage (NCBI taxonomy): Eukaryota > Metazoa > Chordata > Mammalia > Primates > Hominidae > Homo > Homo sapiens. The sequence goes on along the minus strand of NC_000007.14, from coordinate 86,232,356 downwards.
ATGTGTGGTATTATTTCTGAGGGCTCTGTTCTGTTCCATTTGTCTATATCTCTGTTTTGGTACCAGTACCATGCTGTTTTGGTTACTGTAGCCTTGTAGTATAGTTTGAAGTCAGGTAGCATGATGCCTCTAGCTTTGTCTTTTGGCTTAGGATTGTCTTGGCAATGCGGGCTCTTTTTTGGTTCCATATGAACTTCAAAGTAGTTTTTTCCAATTCTTTGAAGAAAGTCATTGGTAGCTTGATGGGGATGGCATTGAATCTATAAATTACCTTGGGCAGTATGGCCATTTTCATGATATTGATTCTTCCTATCCATGAGCATGGAATGTTCTTCCATTTGTTTGTATCCTCTTTTATTTCGTTGAGCAGTGGTTTGTAGTTCTCCTTGAAGAGGTCCTTCACATCCCTTGTAAGTTGGATTCCTAGATATTTTATTCTCTTTGAAGCAATTGTGAATGGAGTTCACTCATGATTTGGCTCTCTGTTTGTCTGTTATTGGTGTATAAGAATGCTTGTGATTTTTGCACATTGATTTTGTATCCTGAGACTTTGCTGAAGTTGCTTATGAGCTTAAGGAGATATTGGGCTGAGATGATGGGGTTTTCTAAATATACAATCTTGTCGTCTGCAAACAGGGACAATTTGACTTCCTCTTTTCCTAATTGAATACTCTTTCTTTCTTTCTCCTGCCTGATTGCCCTGACCAGAACTTCCAACACTATGTTGAATAGGAATGGTGAGAGAGGGCATCCCTGTCTTGTGCCAGTTTTCAAAGGGAATGCTTCCAGTTTTTGTCCATTCAGTATGATGTTGGTTGTGGGTTTTGTCATAAATAGCTCTTATTATTTTTAGATACCTCCCATCAATACCTAATTTATTGAGAGTTTTTATCATGAAGCGTTGTTGAATTTTGTCAAAGGCCTTTTCTGCATCTATTGAGATAATCATGTCATTTTTGTCATTGGTTCTGTTTATATGCTGGATTACATTTATTGATTTGTGTATGTTGAATCAGCCTTGCATCCCAGGGATGAAGCCCACTTGATCATGGTGGATAAGCTTTATTATATGCTGCTGAATTCAGTTTGCCAGTATTTTATTGAGGATTTTTGCCTCGATGTTCATCAGGGATATTGGTCTAAAATTCTCTTTTTTTGTTTTGTCTCTGCCCGGCTTTGGTATCAGGATGATGCTGACCTCATAAAATGCGTTAGGGAGGATTTCCTCTTTTTCTATTGATTGGAATAGCTTCAGAAGGAATGGTACTAGCTCCTCCGTCTACCTCTGGTAGAATTCGGCTGTGAATCTGTCTAGTCCTGGACTTTTTTTGGTTGGTAAGCTATTAATTATTGCCTCAATTTCAGAGCCTGTTATTGGTCTATTCAGGGATTCAAGTTCTTCCTGGTTTAGTCTTGGGAGGGTGTATGTGTCCAGGAATTCTCCATTTCTTCAAGGTTTTTTAGTTTATTTGCATAGAGGTATTTATAGTATTCTCTGATGGTAGTTTGTATTTCTGTGGGATCGGTGGTGATATCCCCTTTATCACTTTTTATTGTGTCTATTTGATTCTTCTCTCTTTTCTTCTTTCTTAGTCTTGCTAGCGGTCTGTCAATTTTGTTGATCTTTCAAAAAACCAGCTCCTGGATTTATTGATTTTTTGAAGGGTTTTTTGTGTCTCTATCTCCTTCAGTTCTGCTCTGATCTTAGTTATTTCTTGCCTTCTGCTAGCTTTTGAATGTGTTTGCTCTTGCTTCTCTAGTTCTTTTAATTGTGATGTTAGTGTGTCAATTTTAGATCTTTCCTGCTTTCTCTTGTGGGCATTTAGTGCTATAAATTTCCCTGTACACACTGCTTGAAATGTGTCCCAGAGATTCTGGTATGTTGTGTCTTTGTTCTCATTGGTTTCAAAAAACATCTTTATTTCTGCCTTCATTTCGTTACATACCCAGTAGTCATTCAGCAGCAGGTTGTTCAGCTTCCATGTAGTTGAGCGGTTTTGAGTTAGTTTCTTGGCCGGGCGCGGTGGCTCACGCCTGTAATCCCAGCACTTTGGGAGGCCGAGGCGGGCGGATCACGAGGTCAGGAGATCGAGACCATCCTGGCTAACACGGTGAAACCCCGTCTCTACTAAAAATACAAAAAATTAGCCGGGCGAGGTGGCGGGCGCCTCTAGTCCCAGCTACTCGGGAGGCTGAGGCAGGAGAATGGCGTGAACCCCAGGGGGCGGAGCCTGCAGTGAGCCGAGATTGCGCCACTGCACTCCAGCCTGGGCGACAGCGAGACTCCGTCTCAAAAAAAAAAAAAAAAGAAAGAAAAAGAGTTAGTTTCTTAATCCTGAGTTCCAGTTTGATTGTACTGTGGTCTGAGAGACAGTTCATTATAATTTCTGTTGTTTTACATTTGCTGAGGAGTGCTTTACTTCCAGCTACGTGGTCAATTTTGGAATAAGTGCGATGTGGTGCTGAGAAGAATGTATATTCTGTTGATTTGGGATGGAGAGTTCTGTAGGTGTCTATTAGGTCCGCTTGGTGCAGAGCTGAGTTCAATTCCTGGATATCCTTGTTAACTTTCTGTCTCGTTGATTTGTCTAATGTTGACAGTGTGGTGTTAAAGTTTCCCATTATTATTGTGTGGGAGTCTAAGTCTCTTTGTACGTCTCTAAGGACTTGCTTTATGAATCTGGGTGCTCCTGTATTGGATGCATATGTATTTAAGATAGTTAGCTCTTCTCATTGAATTGATCCCTTTGCCATTATGTAATGGCCTTCTTTGTCTCTTTTGATCTTTGTTGGTTTAAAGTCTGTTTTATCAGAGACTAGGATTGCAACCCCTGCCTTTTTTTGTTTTCCATTTGCTTGGTAGATCTTCCTCCATCATTTTTCCATTTTCTTCCCAAATTGTCACCAGATTTCATGCTGCCATTCTTTTCCTTTTGGTTTATGAATGTCAGTGAAATCACCACCACAAATAAGGAAATAAATGCATTTATCACCCCCAAGTGTGCAAAAATCGGTGAACTTAGCATCGACATCAAGAAAAAGATTGTAACCAGTGCAACATAACTCATTGCTACCATTTACCATCACTACCCCCTCATGGGAAATATGCCTTTTGACATCATCATTTTACCCATTCTCATTTTTTTATTACTGAAATATAATTGTGTATACAGAAAAGAATATTAGTGGCATCTTCATGACTTTTTTACAAATGGAAATTATATAACTAACTTTCAGATCAAGAAATAGCTCATTTTCTGCAACTATGAGTTCATTTTATCTTTTTTTTTACAGTCATGAACATCCCATTCCACTTCTCGAAAGAAAAGTCTTTACTTAATCTGTTTGTGAACAATATAGATTAATATTGCCTGTGTTTGTATTATACAAATCAAATCATAGATTGTATGTTGACCTATGTCTTATTTCTGTTTATTGACATTTTATTTATGACATTCATTTGTATTGTTAAATGTACTCATCATTCATTCATTCAGTTACTGTATAGAATTATAGTTTTTGATAGCATTTCCTTTGTTTTCAGTTTAGGGCTATTGATTATAATTTTGCTGTTAATATGTATTTATATTATGTTGAGTATAAACTTGGGAGTTGAATTTCAGAGTCATAGGGCATGCACATAGTCATCTATATAATGGCATACATTTTAAGTGATTATGTTAATTTACACTCCCAAAAGCAATGTAGAAGAGTTTCAGTTATTTTATCTCCTCTGATATTTTATCTTTTTCCTTTTAACCATTTTATTAAATACCTCATTCTGTAGTAGTACTTCATTCTAGATTCAATTTTTAATTCCATGGGGAATAATTATGTTGAACGTCTTTTCATATGTATATTTGCCACTTAAATATGTATTATTTTAAGGCCTCTGTTTCAGGATTTTGTGTGTCTTTTTCATAGTTGGGTAGGTGGCATGTCTTTATCGTAGCAATTTATGAAATTTTTAAGATATGGATGTTAGACCTTGGTCTGATATTTGCATTGGGAACACTGTAGTTTGCCTTGACACTTTCCTAATGGTGAGGAAAGGATATTTTAGATTTTAATAGAAACTAGTTTCTCGGCCGGCCTTGGTGGCTCACGCCTGTAATCCCAGCACTTTGGGAGACCGAGGCAGGTGGATCACGAGGTCAGGAGATCGAGACCATCCTGGCTAGCACGGTGAAACCCCGTCTCTACTAAAAATACAAAAAATGAGCTGGGCCTGGTGGGGGGGCGCCTGTATTCCCAGCTACTCGGGAGGCTGAGGCCGGCGAATGGCGTGAACCTGGGAGGCGGAGCTTGCAGTGAGCCAAGATAGCGCCATTGCACTCCAGCCTGGGCGACAGAGCGAGACTCTGCCTCAAAAAAAAAAAAAAAAAAAAGAATCTAGTTTCTCATTGTTTTCTTCTATGATTAATATCAGTTTCCATTTAAGATACCTATACTCCAACGTCAGCAAGATATTTTGTTCCCCACTGCTGAATACATTATTAGTTTTGATCTATAGTTTATTTGCACTCCTGATAGCTTTTCTGTCCAAGCCCTAGTGGGAATTGCTGTAGTTAGTCATGTCTTGGTGGAACATATGGAAAGCCATGAACCCACCTGACTCATGGGCTATAGCTAATTGGGCATTAGATCAGGCCACTGGCAAGCCTAAAACTGACATAGAAAACAAACTGCCATGTGGGGAGAAAATTTTTTGATACAAATCTATTCTCCTTCTAAAAAGCTCTTTGTTACCTATGTGGATTTATTATTTAAAAAATCCTCAATGCTGACTAGGGGAAATATAACCAATGAGCAGTTTGCTCTTGTCAAATAAGTATGGAGATTCAATGAACTGTCTGCTTCTGCCCTAAAACAAGTAGATTTGTGATTGATTGACTCCTGGATTAACCATATGGTGGCCCATTGAAACACAGACACCATCCTAGGTTGGGCCTGCTGGTATAGACTGCTACTGTTGTTAGAAGATTTTGAGATACCATGCAAAAGCTACCCTTCTTGCCAGAACCTTGTCAAGGACAGATCTGAGTCTATGAGCCAAAAGGTTCTTAGGGCCTCTTAGTCTATCCAGAGGGGTTCTCTGGGTTCTGACTGCAGGGAACAGTTTCTCTGGGTTTAGCCTAGCCATCCCTGTAGGTTCTGCCACAATGCTCAGATATAAGATCACATTTGTTTTCTGTTTAGGATTTCTGAGCACATTGCATCTGATAAGGCCCCAAGTTTGTGACCTAAGCTATACATTAGTAGGACAAATCATGAGATATAAGCTGGATTCTCTGTATTCCACATCAGCACAGGTTACACGGTGGTTGAGCATTCTAATGGACAATTAAAGAACATACTTAAACTGCTGATTTGTAGTGACAAGATGATCCTAGCCTGGATGTTCATTTCAGGTGAGCTGTTTGGAGCCTCAAAGCAGTGATTCCCTGAAAAGGAACTTCTCATTTGCAAAGTTGATCGAAATGTCTGCTCTCTTCTTTCAATTGTACATTCTTATTTGGCAGTTTTTGATGTTCAGTTTCCACAGGGGAACTCCTAATCATCTTCTGTCTTCTTAATGACTGTGGCAGCCCATCTGGAGTGGCCACTATGAAGATGCCAACTGCAGCAGGGCAGGTGTGCACAAGGCTACACATTCCTTGGAGCCAGTTGGAGCTGGGAACAGGTTGGAACCCAGCTCCCTTTCGAGTTGGCAGAGTGGGAGCCTCCCACTCTTAGGCACAGCATCAGCTGCCCAGACGTGGCTGTGGACCCAGGTATCCCTCCACTTTCAGGCCCTTGGAAGCCCCCATTCCCCTGCAGGCTCAGAAATGTCTGCTCCCACTGCCGGGCATCTCCTCACTCATGGTGCTCACTCCAATTTTGGAGCAAAGTTGTGGCCAGGCCGGGTTGCTGTCATGGCCCAGCCAGGTGTGTGCATGCTTAGGGCAGTGCTGATACATTAGCTCCCTGCTGCCTCAGCCCCCTCTGGACTTTAAGTGCCAACAAGCATGGGAGTGAGGCTGAGGGAAGGGCTGAGGGCAGCTTGGCAGGGGCCTGCAGATGCCTCTTGGAATGGACAGCCTGGGCACTGTAGTTGACATGCAGATGGTGGCAGGAGGCAGACAGGCTCCTGGGTGGGAAGGGGCCGGTCCACAGTGAAGCTCCACCTTCAAGCCAGGGACTGCCTAAGGCATGAGGGCAGGGCTGTTAATTCTGAGTGGAGTCTGCGGTCCAGAGTGAGAACTCATGGTGCTTTTCCTGGGCCTGCCCATGGCTACCTATGGACCAATCAACATGCACTTTGTCCCTTCTGAAGCCAGTAAAAACCCCAGACTCAGCCAGACTCACAGAGATGTCAGCATGACCTCCCTGGAGATAGGAGCTACCCACTCCAGGTCTCCTCTCTGCTGAGGGCCACAGACATCAGGACAACCTGCCTGTAGAGAGGAGCCTCCTATTCCAGGTCTCCCCTCCACTGAGGGTTGCAGACATCAGGACAACCTGCCTGCAAATAGGAGCTACCCACTCTAGGTATCTTCTTTGTTGAGGGCTGCAGGCTCGATGGGACAAGTCCTGCCTGTGGAAAGGAGCTACCCAAGTTGGATCTCCTCAGGGCTGTACTGTTGCTCAATAAAGCACTTCTTTGGCTTGCTCACCCTTCAGTTTTCCACGTACCTCTTTCTTCCTAGATGTAGGACAAGATCTTGGGACCCACTGAATGGTGGAACTGAAAGAACTGTAACACAAATGGGACTGAAACACGTCCCCCCTGACCTCCTGCCCCCCATGCTCACCATGTTACAAGTGATGAGAAGGACAGAAGAGCTGTGGCCCTTCCGGATGCCCAGACCTAAGGCCTCCCTGATCCAAGGCTGTGACACCCTCTTTGGGGCTCTGCAGTTCCTGGCATCTCCAAGCTTCTGGGCAACACAGTGTTTTCCAGAGCCTACAGTTGAAGCTGCTTAGGTATGCCTTGTCCAGATACAGCCTCCCACAGAGCCGGCACCTGTGCTGGCACCTGGAGCTGCCTACCACGCTGCAGCAGCTAGTGTGCCCGGCTGTGTGCAGTGGGCAGATCCCACGCTTGCTCACTCATGCACATCTCACTGTTACACACTGGGATCACCCTTGGCAGGTGTAAGATTTAGGCCAGTAGCATGAGCCAAGCACAGCCTTCCAGGTTGAGTGGGTGGAGCAAGTCCAGTGGGCCCAAGCAAAACACAGGCAAGGGAGCCACCAGCCAAAGAGGCTTCCAGCTGGAAAAGTGACACCCTAAGGATCCTGTGACACTCTTTGACTATTTTTCTGAACACTCAAAGAGAGGGGAGAAGAAAATGACTATTAAAGAGCAAGGGGTAGAGATTATGTAAGCTCATTTTAAAATATTTTAAAATTTTCCAATTTTGTGCTGAATAATTTTTAAACATAGTATATCTTCCTGGTTAAGCTATATAAAAATATTTTTTGGTTAAAATACTTTAGTCTCTCTTGCATACAATTCTTCCAGACAAAAGGTCTAAAGGAAAATAGGAGATGATTAAAAAGGGAAAAAATAATGAAGTTTTAATTACTAACTGCACCCACTGATACAACAGAAATAATAACCCTGGAAACTTAAAAGAACAGGAGTAAAAAAGGACATAAATAATATTTGTTTTCAGATTTGCAAATCTATGGAGACTGTAAAGAATCAGTGATTGCTAGAAAATTGGGAGGAGGTAGTTTGGGAGAAATGTGTAAAGCACAGGATTTTTAGGGTGGTGAAACTATTCTATATGATACTGTATACATGTTCTGTACAGGTACACATGAATAGTAGTAAATAAAGATGGAAGGACTAAAGTGACTACCTAATATAAAAACAAATGGAAGTTTAGACAAGGAATATTACCAGAGGCAAATGACATTTCATAGTAATTACAGGGTCAATATATCAGGAAAACATAATATTTGTATATGTGCATTCCCTAGATATATAAATAATAATAGAACCACAAAATAAGTGAAATATGATCTAGCAAGCTAAAGGGAAAAATTCATAAGTATAGTTGGAATCTTTAAAGCACTGTCAGACCAACTAGACAAAACCTTATTAAAGAATATGGAACACCTGATTGTCACTATTGATCATTATATCTGATAACATTTATAGAAGACTATTTCCAACACCCAGAGAATACAAATTCTTCTGAATTAAACATGGGACATTTACTGATATGTCTTGAACTGTGCCATAAAACAAGTGTCATTCAAGCTCAAAGAGAACTCTTACATAGTATGTTCTCTGACCACAACAGAAGCAAATTAGAAATTAATTAGATACCTGATACAGTTTTGCTGTGTCCCCACCCAAATCTTATGTTGAATTATGGCTCCCATAATTTCCACATGTTGTGGGAGGGACTCGGTGGAAGATAATTGAATCAGGGGAGTGATTTCCCCTATACTGTTCTCATAGTAGTGAATCAGTCTCATGAGATCTGGTGGTTTTTATAGGGGGTTTCCCCATTTGCTTGGTTTTTCATTTTCTCTTGCCTGCTGCCATGTAATATGTGCCTTTTGCTTTCTGCCATGATTGTGAACCTTCCCCAGGCATGTGGAACTGTGAGTCAATTAAACCTCTTTTTTAAAAAAAATTACCCAGTATTGTGTATGTCTATGCAGCATGAAAACAGGCTAATGCTGTAAATTGCACCAATAAAGTGGGTTACTGCTGTAAAGATACTAAAAAATGTGGAATTAACTTTGGAACTAGTTAACAAGCAGAGGTTGGAACAGTTTGGAGGGCTCAGAAGAAAACAGGAAAATGCGGGAAAGTTTGGAACTTCCTAGAGACTTGTAGAGTGGATTTGACCAAAATGCTGATAATAATATGGAGAATAAAATTCAGGCTGAGGTGGTCTCACATGGAGATGAGGAACTTGTTGGGAAATGGAGTAAATGTGTCTCTTGCTATGTTTTAGCAAAGAGACTGGTGGCATTTTGCATCTGCCCTAGAGATTCGTGGAATTTTGAACTTGAGGGAAGTGATTTAAGGTATAAGGTAGAAGAAATTTCTAAGAAGCAAAGCATTCAAGAGGTGACCAAATGTTAAAAGCATTTGGTTTTAAAAGGAAAACAGAGCATAAAAGTTCAGAAAATTTGTAGCCTGATGATGCATTGGAAAAGAAAAACTCATTTTCTGAGGAGAAATTCAAGTTGGCTGTAGAAATTTGCATAAGTAATGAGGAACCAAATATTAATCACCAAGACAATGGGGAAACTTTCTATAGTGCTTGTCATAGACCTTTACAGAAGCTCCTCCCATCACATGCCCAGAGGCTTAGTAGGAAAAAATGGTTTTGTGCGCCAGGCCCAGGGACCCCTACTGTGTGCAGCCTAGGGACTTGGTGCCCTGTGTCCCAGTGACTGTAGCCATGGCTAAAAGGTGCCAAGGTGCAGCTCAGGCCATGGCTTCAGAGGTTACAAGCCCCAAGCCTTGGAAGCTTCCATGTTGTGTTGAGCCTGTGGGTGCACAGAAGTCAAGAATTGAAGTTTGGGAACCTCTGCCTATATTTCAGAGGATATATGGAAACACCTGGATGTTCAGGCAGAAGTTTGCTGCAGGGGCAGGGCCCTCATGGAGAACCTCTTCTAGGGCAGTGAAAAAGGGAAATGTAGGATTGAAGCCCCCACACATAGTCCCCACTGGGGTACTGCCTAGTGAAGCTGTGAAAAGAGGGCCATGCTCCTCCAGACTCCACAATATTAGATTCAGTGACGGTTTGCACCATGCACCTGCAAAAGCCACAGGCAGTCAACATGAGTCCTTGAAAGCAGCTGGGAGGGAGACTGTACCATGCAGAGCCACAGGGGCAGAGCTTCCCAAGACAATGGGAACCCACCTCTTGCATGAGCTTGACCTGGCTGTGAGACATGGAGTCAAAGAGATCATTTTGGAGCTTTAAGATTTGACAGCCCTGCTTGAATTTTTACTTGCATGGGTTATATAGCCCCTTTGTTTTGGCCAATTTCTCCCATTTGAATTGGCAGTATTTACCCAATGCCTGTATCCCCATTGTATCTGGGATGTAACTAACTTGCTTTTTATTTTACAGGCTCATAGGTGGAAGGGACTTGCCTTGTCTCTGATGAAACTTTGGACTGTGGACTTTTGAGTTAATGCTGAAATGAGTTAGGATTTTGAGGGACTGTTGGAAAGCCTGATTGGTTTTGAAATGTGAGGTCATGAGGTTTGGGAGGGTCCAGAGTCAGAATGATATGGTTTGGCTGTGTCCCAACCCAAATCTCATCTTGCAATGTAACTCCCACAGTTCCCATATGTTGTGGGAGGAAACTGGTGGAAGGTATTGTCATGGGGCTGGGTCTTTCCCATGCTGTTCTCTATTTTGTTGGAAAATGCAGATGGTAATCCCTGCTTTTTTCTGTTTTTCATGTGCTTTTTAGATTTATCTCCATCCCTTTACTTTGAGCTTATAAGTGTCATTGCTTGTGAGATCAGTCTTTTGAAGACAGCGTACCATTAGGTCTTGCCTTCTTATCCAGCTTGTCACTCTGTGCCTTCTGATTGGGACATTCCGCCTGTTTACATTCAGGGTTAATATTGATGTGCGTGGATTTGATCCTTTCATCCTGTTGTTAGCTGGTTATTATGAAGACCTGTTTATGTGGTTGTTTTATAGGGTCACTGGTCTGTATTATTCAGTGTGTTTTTTCTAGTGGCTGGTAACCGTCTTTCCTTTTTAGTGTTTCCTTCAGGACCTCTTGTAAGGCAGGTCTGGTCGTAGTGAATTCCTTTAGCATTTGTTTATCTGAAAACGATCTATTTCTCCTTTGCTTATGAAGCTTAGTTTGGCTGGATATAAATTCTTGGTTGGAGTTTCTTTTCTTTGAGAATGCTGAACCTCTTCTGGTTTCTGTTGAAAGGTCCACTGTCAGCTTGATGGGGTTCCTTTGTAGGTGACCTACACTTTCCCTCTAGCTGCCTTTAACATTTTTTTCTTTCATTTTTAACCTTGGATAATCTGATGACTATGTGTCTTAGAGATGGCCTTTTGTGTAGTATCTTGTAGGCATTCTGTACATTTCATGAATTTGAATGTTGACCACTCCAATGAGGTTGGGAAATTTTCACAGATGATATCCTGAAATATGTTATCCAAGTTGGTTGCTTTCTCTCCATCTTCTTTAGGGACACAAATAGATAATAGATTTGCTCTCTTTACATAATCCAATATTTCCTGAAGGGTTTCTTTGTTCATTTTGGTTATTTCCTTTATTTTTGTCTGACAGAGTTACTTCCTTGAACCAGTCTTCGAGCTCTGAAATTCTTTCCTTAGCTTACTTTATTTTGCTCTTAACACTTGCAACTGCCTTATGAAATAGTTGTGTGTTTTCCAGTTCTATCAGATCAGTTTGGTTCTTTCTTATAATGGCTGTTTCATCTATCAGCTTATGTATCATTATTTTCTGAAGATTCCTTGAATTGAGTTTCAACTTTTTCCTGAATCTCAATGATCTTCATTCTTACTTATATTCTGAATTCTATTTCTCTCATTTCAGCCATTTCAACCCAGTTAACAACTCTTGCTGGGGAGCTAATGTGGCTGTTTGGACAACAGGGGACATGCTGACCATTTGAGTTGCCAGAGTTCTTGAGCTGATTCCTTCTCATCTGTGTGGGTTGATGCTCCTTTAATGTGATATAATTTGAGTACCATCAGTTGACTTCTTTTCTGGTTGTTTCCAGGGGGCTAATACTTTGTACAGGGTCTCTATTTGTATCTGAGTTTTGGACAATGATTTCACAGGGTGGTATATTAGCAAAGTATTTTTGGTGTTGAAGTTTGGGTTGTGATCCAATAGATGGCTCATAAGCATAATGGCTAGTAGATAGGCTCTTGCTCAGCCATGTGGCTCCTCTCTATTTCCTCATGTTTGCAGCCATGCTCCCTCTCAGTGCTCTGAAAGTGTGGGCTCCTCCCCTGCTGAAGTGCTGACTGCAGATCTCAACTTGGCACTCCCAGGCTGCACACCACAGTCCTTGGGTGAACTCAGGCTTTGTTTCTTCCTCAGGTTAGAGGCAGCAGGGGAAGGGACTCTGGCAGTTGCTGCGGCAGAGGGCCTTCCAATAGTATCTTGGGGCTCTACCCCAGAAGAATGCAGAACTTCTTGGTGTATCAACCTAGAGTGGGATAGCTGTGATGTGGGCCCAAGCTGAGGGGCCCTGCCTGGAGATGACCAGGGGCATGGGGAGCTTGTTGGGGAGCAGAGTGATCTCTTCTCCTTAGGGCAGCTGTGACTTGCTTGAGGTGTTGTTAAAGCACTCCGGGTCTTTGCTCCTTACCCAGTCTGAGGCCAGCAAGGGCAGTATCAATGCAGTGGTAGTGACAATGGAGTCTTTGGTTGCCTCTGGGAGCTCCACCTCAGAGAAATGTAGAGCCTCTGTTACTGGCAAAACAAAAAAACAACAACAACAACAACAAAAAAAACCTCACTTTTAAATAATCCTTGGATCAAAGAAGACATCATAGGTAAAATTTGAAAATATTTTGAATAAATCAGAATGAACATATTAAACATCAGTGTTTGTGGGAGGGAACTAAAATGCTTAGATAAAAGTGTATAGATTTTTTATTCTTATAATAGAAAGGAAGAATGGCCTAAAACCAATTATCTGAATGTTCCATTTACAAAGCTAGAAAAGAACAAGTAAATTGAATGCAAAGTATGTAGAAGAAGAGAACTGATAAAGATAAGAAAAGCAATCAATGACACAGGAAATGGACAAACAGTATATTAATACATAAAAATGTTTGTTCTTTTAAACTATTAACACAATTGACAAACCTGTAACAGGAGTGATTAAAAAATAGAGAAAGAGAAAGACAGGGAAAGGGTGACAATTTAAAATTGTGAGTATAAATGAGGGGCTACCATTTCAAACCTAAAAGTATAAAATATTTAAAAATTTTAGGAACACCTTTATTCCAATAACTTTTTTTAAGTTTGAAAAATTATTCCGAACTCTGTCTCATTCTTAGTGTTTTAGGAAAACTAATTTAATATAAAATTGAGAAACAGAAAATGTTTAGGTCAAACTCATCTAAAATTATTTTAGGAAAGAAGAAATAAATAATAGAATAACCTTCCTGTACACAATAAAAGTATAACTTAGATGCGTGCTCACAAAGCAGGTAAATCCTGTAGTTTGCTATTTCCAAATGAGAATCTCAAAAAATGAGATAAGATTGCTTCAGAAAAAAATTAGTAAAAGAAAATTACATTTGTAAATGAAAAACTGGAAGAAACACAAAAATGAATAAGCACATTTATTTTAGGGCAAATATGTTTAAATATTTTTTGTTTTCACTTGCAAATGCTCCACATTTTAAATTAATTAAATCAAAACCAATGTATAATGGAAAAATTCAACGATGTCAAAAGTTTGTTTTTTTAAAAGTTATATTTGATAAGAGTTTTGATAATCTGTACAAAAAGAAATAACAGGGAGAGAAAAAAATAACACAGGCTATAATTATTAGGATTGAATGGGGAACATCATGATAGATTTAAAGAGGAGATAATATGAAGTGGTTTTCAACTTCTTTTTTTTTTTTTTTTTTTTTTTTTTTGAGACAGAATCTAGCTCTGTTGCCAGGCTGGAGTGCAGTGTGGTATGATCTCAGCTTACTGCCTCCCAGGTTCAAGAGATTCTCCCACCTCAGCCTCCTGAGTAGCTGGGATTACAGGCACTCGCCACTAAGCCTAGCTAATTTTTGTATTTTTAGTATAGACTGGGTTTCACCATGTTGGCCAGGATGGTCTCCATCTCCTGACCTCATGGTCTGCCCACCTTGACCTCCCAAAGAGCTGGGATTACAGGTGTGAGTCACCGCGCCCAGCCTCGACTTCTATATTTGCTAATAAATTTGAAAATTAGAAAGACTTGGACAAATTCTTTCAAAACAGTTTTTAAAGTGAGAGAAGAAGAAATATGCCAATAACTCTGTAAATTTCTAAACTGTGTGCCAAGTCACAATAAGATGACACCATGAACTCAGAATGGTGTCACAATATATTTAAAGTCACAGATATAGAAGATAAAAATATACAACTTTGTTTTTATCTATGTATCTATAAACAAATACAACTTTCACAGGAAAACTTAACAACTTTGTGACACTAGGGTTGACCGAGATTTAGGTACCTCATGCAAAAAATATTAATCAGTAGAGAATAACAGAAAAAAATAATTATTTTTGTTTATAAACTGAACTACTAAGAGCATATAAGTCAATAGGCAAAGTGGAGAAATATGTTTTCAATAATATATTTGACATAATACTCATACACAGGATATTCGGACTCTACCTAGAAACACAACAGAATAGAAAATCTGACAAATTTCTCTAATCATATAGTAAATATGGGTTAAAACCACCATGATATACAGATTGAACATTGCTATTCTAAAAATCCAAAATCTGAAATTCTCCTAAATAGAAACTCTTTGAGAACTGACATGACACCACAAGTGGAACATTCCACATCTGACACCTTTGCTTTCTGATGGTTTGATGTACACAAAATTTCTTTCATGTACAAAATTATTTAAAATATTGCAGTCAAACCTCCTTTCTCTAATAAAGAAAAATCTGCCTTTCTGAATTAATGCTTGAGAAATGTCCTTTTCCTACTGGTTCACATTTAGCCCAAAAATGGCATTTGATTCAACAGCATACAGCTCCTGTGAGTCCACATTCAACATTTTTGATACATTTAATCCATATTTAGTTTCTACAGAAGACAAGATGGAGAAGATGGCTTAGTATTAAAGAAGTTGATTCCCCTCCTAATGCACAAATACATACATTTGAAGCTACTCCACAGGTTAACCCATTAGATAAGCTGAGACCAAAGTTAATTCCTGGAATGACTGAAATAAGAGGAAACAGCTCTGCAGTCCTGCAAGCTAATTGTGACTTGGAAGAGGAGAGGACCACCCTGTGTTTGTAGTCATTGAGGGAGAAGCAGCGTCAGGTATCTGGAGACAGCCATGCCCACGTGACCAGATAGGGAGCATGGACAGTCCACAGATTGATTACATACACTGCCTCCTGTCCTATTTGCTCTAGATTACAGGGAATCCCTGTTACTGTGGAGTGATGGACCTTTCCCAAGGGAAACCTAAAGGCAAATTTTGCTCATGGACTCTGAGCACAAGGACAGCCTCTTCTCTGAGCTTTTGCCATGACAGCAGATCCCTGCATACGCAAATTGAGCAGCGGATTCACAACTTTAGTTTTGATGTCCATGACTCGTGTGGATTTCACTTCTATACTGTAACAGAACTTTTAGAACTTTATAAAGATCCTAGGTCTTGCATGTTTTTTGGACTGTTGCTTGCTATATCTCTAGATGGGACTTCTCCTTTTAGCCTGCGATATATCTGCCATGTGGTAATCTGCAGGTGCACTATATACGATGGATTGATTGGATCCCTTTACCGTCAATGTTACAGGAATTTTTAAAAGTATCATTATAAACAAAAAGTTAGGATTCAGAAGTTAAAATGAGGACCAGTCAAGCCAACATAAACTCTCCTGTCCTCAGAGGGTATTAACTAGGTCTGCTTTCATGTGGATGAGATAGCACACCTATAGCAACACACACATCAGTGGTGGGTTTTTTCATACAGTATGTAAACTTAGTGTTTGTATCTGTCAGATGCTGTTACTTATTCAGATCTGCTGTTACTTATTCAGATAAACGTGGTGCCTATTGAAACAACAGGATAGAACTACAGGTATTCAGTAAGACTGCAAAAACATTTTGGTGATTTAGCTAACAGTTTTTAATGGCTGTAGTAATTCAGTGAGGTAACGCTGGGGCATTTGTTATGAAGAATTCTATTACTTTCTGAAGGACAAATGCTTAATATTGGATGAGTATTTCAGCATTGTGACTGTTTGAAATTATTTTGTCTGAGAGTTTTTCTATAATCTTCCAGAAGTAGTGATGTTTGTAGTTGCTATAATTCAAGCTTTGGGAGTCCAAAAAAATAAAAGACTGCCTTCCTTTTAAGAAAAAAAAAAAAGGAAGTTTCTGGCCACAAGGGCATAGTGCTGTTCAATTAAGTGTTGAAGTAGTTTATAGTTACACTGCTTTTCTCCTCTGCAAAAGGTACTGGTAAATAAACCAGCTTTTCTGAATAGTCAGTCTTAAAATTTCAGGCTTACAATGTTAGTAGTAGAATTTTATTTAAAGGCCCTAAGTACCGATTTTTTAACGAGTGCTTTGATTTAAAACAAGTATTTGGAATAGCTGCTACAATGTATTCTTCCATGTCATTTTTTTTTTTAAGTTGACATGCAGTCTAATTGTTGTTTCATAAAAACTGGATATTTTCCTATGCCCATAATTAGTTTGTGAACCATGAAGAAAATGAAACTAGAAGATTTCCGATCAAGTCAGAAAATAAGAACTTCAGTGGTTGGTGATGTTGAGATTATTGTTAAACTATAATTAATAATTTGGATAGCAGTACTTATCTCTTTGTTGTAAACTCTCATAGCTGAATTAAGTATAATTTTTAGAATCTCAGTGCAGTTAATTCTTAGTGGGAAATCTGAAATCTAAAATTTAGATTTAAAAGGTACTGCATAAACATTATATCCATAAATTGCTTAGCTCCTTTTTATCATTTAGAATAATATGTATCATTACTGGAGTGAGCTGTTCTTGAAGTTATTTCAAGTTCTAGTGTTCACTTCTAAGTAAGAGAACTGAATGTACAGTTCTAGATATTTGGCAGTAAAATAGCCAAATCCATTCTTATGTCTTTTTGTGACTGTGCTCTGTACTACTGGTGAGTGCTCCATGGTTTCTACACTAGCTGCTACAAAATGTGTTTTTACATCCCTATGGCTATTGCCAAGGCTACAAAAAAAAAGCATAGCTGTATTTGAATACACCACTAACCCTTTGACTAGTAATGCATGTTTCTGCTTGATGTGCCTTGTTACAGCTACTTTTTTGTGCTAATAAAGGATGTTTGGTGTTCTTGTAAAAAAATTGAAATAAATAAATTTAAGTATGTAGAAATAGTATTGTCAAACTCAACATACATTGTAGGGATTAATGTCTAAATTTAACATTTTATTTGGAGAAGCAAAAATTGCAATTCAGAGCATACACGTAGATCTGGTGGTCTTTGATATGTCTGAAGAGCAAAGAAAAAGTTAGGGTTTTATTAGGAAGATAAATATTGCATATGGTTTTGAAAGAAAGCTCATGGGCACTAACGAATCTTTTTGGAGTCAGTAAACTCTGATTGGTGAGTGACGGTGATAGGTGATACTAATTTTAGAGTCATGGCAGGTGGTTTAACCCGCTACTAGGTAAAACTGGTCTTAAGGTTGCAGCAGACTGTTTCTGCAGCTGGCAGAGAATTCAGTTCTTGGAGCAGTGCTATATGCCCCAACTGACTTTCGATTCTGATTAATTGAGTATGACAAGAATGACTTGATTTGTAAAATTATCATTCAGAGTGTGAAAAATATTTTCTCTATTCTTCTATGAGAAAGGATAAGTCAATATTCTGCAGTCTTGTTTGCTTTTATTGTTCACCTACTTTATTTAAATTCAATTTGTCAGTAAAGCACATTTCCCTCATTATTCTCATATTTTAAAAATCTCTACTCTTGGCCTTTGAAATTTCATATAAATTTAAAATCATTTGTCAAGTTGCACATAAAAACGCAAAAAACTTTGAATCATTATGATTACATTGAATCTACAATGTAACTTTAGGAGTATTTACACTTGTATAAATTGAATTGTGTTTAGATAACAAGTTTATGCTGGTCTTGTCAAAGCTTTATTTTCTGTAGTAGTATTTGTAGGATTAACATTATTTATTCACTAGTAATGCCACCTGATTCAATAGTTCCTTTGTGAGAAGGTTTGATATTATGCACTACACTTTTTAATAGTTATAATAATATGAGATTTCAAATCTTCTTGAGTTAGTTTCAGTAAAATGCATTTTTTTCTAGAAATATTTACATGATATATTTTTATAGTTATGGCATAAATTTATACCTTTTTAAAATTTTTATAGTAATACAGACTATAAACAGCAATTACACCTTTTAAAGTTCTTGATACTTTTAATCTTTTTAGTAGTTTTATTTTCCTCATCAGTTTTGTTAGTAATTTTAAAGAATCAACTGTTTAATTGATCTTGTCCATTGTTTGTATATTTTTCAATATCATTAGTTGTTATCTATTTCTTTAATTTTTTATTTCACATTTTTATTTAGTTTCTTTCTTAGAGTTAGATAATTTCTGTATTTTCAGCATGTACTTTCTTCTAATACACAAGCTTAAATTTATGTTTTCTTTTAAGCATAGCTGCATTTCACAAGTTTTAAAATTCATTAGTTTTCAGCTCAAATTTTTAAAAATAGATACAAAACACAAATTAATAAGCCAGAAAAAAATGTAATCAAGTGTAATCGCTATTAAAAGAATGGTTAAATGGTCCCATCTTCAGAAAATTCATAAATTGATAAACGTAAACTAGAAAAAATTCACTTGAAAAATTAACATAGTTTTATAAATAAAATTTATACTCGTAAATTTTCAAACTATAGATATATACAAATATATAAATTTCTGAAATTTATATTTTTATTGAAGATTAAGGAATCACAAAACAGATTATTTCAGAACCATATAATAAAGATGAAATAAAGACAAAATATAAGCAAATAAACAAATACACAAACAGTTGCTAAAATTTTTGAAGAGAAATCTTACACATATACAGAATAAGTGTCTGAAAACTTATGATACAAAAGTTAGAAGGTTATATACTTTTTAGGGCATAGAGGCCTTACTAAAAGGGAATTTCTATGAAGACCATATGGTGTTTTTTAAATGTACAGATTAAATTTACATTAGCATTTACTTTACAGTATGTTCCAGAATGGCAGCTTTACAGGCTTGATATTAGATCTAGTTCAGTTATCAAGCAGTACTTATTTGATAATTTTTATAAGAAATCTTCCTGGAAGCCCACATATAGAGAGAAGCATATTGATTTCCTAGGTTTTATAGGCAGTAGAAGTGTCAGTGATTTATTTCTGAAACTCCTGGAGGAATGCAGCCTAGCCTTAGACAGGACTCAAGGCTGTCAACCAAGGTAGACAGATCACCACAATGTGTTTAGCAAATGATCATGCAGACTAAAGCCAAACATGCCCTCAAGGTGAGGGACAGTGCCGCAAGGCCGACTGGGGAGAATTTTCTGTAGACTGTGAATATTTAAATTTCTGTGAAAATCAAAAACATTGACAAAGCTTTAATAATTTTTTAAAGTTTCTTTTCCTTAAGAATAGTAATCAAATTAAATTAGCTTTGAATTTTAATAACATAATTGCTTGGGAAAAATACCTGTTTTTAATGCTTTTTTTGAAAAGAAAAATAAAACCCTAAAGAAAAGACAAGCAATATTTTGATTCTGAGGAATATTAATTCCCTATTGCATATTATAAGAAAATTTCTGTCATGCAGTTTTAATGATTGAGTCACTAAGATCGAAAGAAGAGTTTGGTATTTCTTGTTGAGCTGAAGTAATTGGGTATTCTGGGAATACAGTCATAGAAACAAGAACCATTTTTTTTCTGGAAAATCATAATGCAAATCCCCACCAATAATGCCCATGATACTTGACACTATTCTACAAATCAAAAGTCACACTCTTAGATTGTCAGAAGTTTTAAGCACTCACAGACACTACATCTTGTGGCAACAAATAGAAAATGCATCTTTTCTAATTATATAGAAATTAGAAGTAAATGCCCCTTAAGCAAGTTGAAAGAAATATTTTCCTCAGGTAATCTGAATATCCTAAAATATATTTATATACTCTATGTAAACAACAGCATTTATTGTCTAGAATATAGAATCATTAATCACCATGAACTAATATTTTCCCAGATTTTACCAAGGCAAGTTCAGCTTAGAAAATAGCTCCTTGGTTAAGATAAATCGTAGATAGAAAATCTGTACCAAATGATGCCACCTTAATTAATAATGTTTAAACAAATGACGGGAGTAAAAATGAAAGAACTCAAGGTATAGTGAGTTCCAAGTCATAAATAAATTAGACCAGTGACCTTCAGATTTGTTTTGTTGATGACGGTTTTTTTCTATCTTTAGCTACAAAGCTTTTAATTCAGTGAGATTTCTGGTGCTGGTCCAATATATAACATAGATAAAAGCAGAGCTGCTCAGGATAAAACAGGTCCTGGTCTCTTGGGTCTGCTTCATGCACCTGAGGCCACACACCAAATGGAATCTTTTTCTGAATTAGATAGAGACACAAAAGGCTTATTCTGCCTCAACAGAGCTTTTCAATTAACCCTTATTACTTGTACAAATAATAACAATTACTTTGGTTATGACTGTACACTTGTTAAAGTGGAAATGCTCTTGAAGGGGTAATTAAATCAGTCTATTATTTTATTAACACTAGAATAAATTGTTTTTACATTATTTTCCTTAAGGCAAGAAAGCCAATAATAAAACAAATATTATCAAGATGTAAAGAAAAAAATATATAGTAGGAAAATTTGAGGATATTGAAATAAAAATTTTGGCTACTTCATAATTTCTATAAGATTCAGATTATCTGTTATATTAATATAATTTTAATTAAATTTTATAATATGAATATGATATATAGGAGACTGGATTTGGACAAACCATAGAATTAGGAAATTGGATTCAGGAGTCAACACAGTTTGACCAGGAGAGAAGAGACTCAGAATTGCAAATCTCAATGGTAAGCATGAAAATTTTGGTAATTTGTATAAGATTGTTGAGTGAGCAATCATGTAGCCATTGGGAGACAGTTCTCCATGAGATTCTGGTGATTGTACACATCTTGTAAAGCGCCATTGACAGCTTTGTTCTGAACTAGTTTTTCAAGGATTTTTGTATAGCAAACAGCCTTTGAAAAGAGAAATAGTGTTTCCTTCCAGTGCAGAGGGTAGATTAATTTCTTTACCAGGTAAATAAAGATAATGTCTCCTTCAAGGGGAAAGATAGGGCAGGTCTTACAGCATGCCTCTTATAAAGTTGATGATTTCCTAACCAATCCTAATCACATCTTATTGCCTGCTGTGCTGTGCTCCTTCGTCTCTGACCCAGGAGTCCCTGTCTCCTGCTAGTATCTATAAAATTTTGGTAGGCTAAATTGTTAGCTTACTAGTAGAATAAAAAAGCAGACCTTTCTACAGGCTTTACAGCAGTATGTGACATATAAAATGTCAAGAACTATAAGTGTGATACCTAATAAGTAAGTACTATGATAGGACCTGTGCTAACCAAGAACTGAGATAAGAATTCTACTAAAGCAGAGTTGAAGGGAAGGAAAAAAAAAAAAAAAGAGTTCCCTCAAGTCACTGGGACAAGATGAGAGATAAAAGAGAGGCAAATGTTTACCAAGGGTTTTCCTTATGTCTTGAAGATTACTGGTGTTATCAGCTTTGAGGCCACCAGGCCTAGTATTATTACAATTCTCTACCCTATTTCTGTAGGTCATCACAAAGAAACCAGAATTCCCACACCATTCCTCATTGCCTTTGCTTTAATACATATATGACTCCTCTCTGTCTCCCCTGGGCCCTCCTAATACATACAACCTATCTTCCTTCTCTGCTTTATAGTTTTCCCCAGAACACTCATGATCATTTGAATATTATTCATGAATTTTATTACTCTTGATTTGACTTATTTCAATATAATATAAGCTTTGTATAATATTAGAGACTTTTGTCTCTTTCATTCACTTATTTTCACTTCCTAGAATAGATTATAAAATTCTGTAGGTAATAAATAAGCATTAGTCAAATGAATTAATGAACAGATGAATGAATGAACAATGGAGGTTTGTGGTTAAGTTACACACTTTCATTTATTACAACCCTTTCAAGTATTTCACTCTTTATTTGGTAGACCTCCTTCCTTTTAATATCTCTTAATCTGAATTCCTGAAATATTGACTGAGAGGACAGGTTTTCAAATGTATCTAAATAGTAACAGACACTTTTCTTTAATATTTTCCTCCAGTTGGCCATGACCATCCTCACTTTCCAAAACTTATAAAGTGCATGAGGAATTAAGGGAAAATATAAATATAATAAGCTTGTGATTCAAATTTAATGCTAATGATCAGATCATCTTCAGTAGGTTATATCAACCAAAGATATCTCCAGAAAGGAAAAATGTATTTGATGTCTGGTTCAAATGCCAGATATATATATGGCATTTGATATATATATATATATATATATATATATATATATATATATATATATATATATGGTATATGTAAATAGTTTTAATAAAGGGAAAATGCTTTATCTTTACAATAGAAATCTAAACAGATGTTTAACATATAGACTTTTGTATATTATTTATAGAAAATTTAGTTACAATTCATGCCCCTCTTCATTTTAATATTTAAAAGGCACTAAAGTAGTATACAGTTTTGATAGGAATCTTTATTTTTAGTCGTGGACTGCCCTGTGACTAATGATGTTCTGAGCCCTCTGAGTGGGACTTGTTTGTCTTTCCATAAAATATTATAAATAAATGGTGTTGGTGTTGATGCAACTGGGACATTTAAAGCTGCCAGATTTTATTTCTACTGTTTATTTTCAATGTAATAGGTGTCTCAGCATTTAACAATCATTGTGCATGAAATTCTGTACATGTAAGCCTTAGATTTTTGCACATTTTGCAAATTTATAAAACCCAGATTCAAACAAAAAGAAGTAAATGTTTGAAATTTTTCCTTTAAAACAAAACTATAGCATTATCTCCAGCTGATAATTATTTATGATTTCTTTACATTGGCTAGTTACATTCAGCGATTGAAATGCATAACTGATGACAGAAGCGGCCGGTCTGGGTCTGTTGCCACTGCTGCAAAGAGACTGGCTGCAGTGGGGGAGGCGCGGCCAGGGCTGCTGGTTCCACAGTGCAGGTAACTTGTGGAAGCCCCCCACCCACCCCTTCCAAGTTGGTGGGACAAGAGCCCAGCGCTCTCAGGCACAGCTGCAGCCATCCAGTGGCAGCCAGGAACCCAGGCACCCCTGTGCTCTTAGGGACCTGGGAAGCCCCAGTGCCCCTGCAGGCTTAGAAGTGCTTGCTCCTCCTGCCTGGCCTCTTCCTGCTTCTCATGCCCACTCTGATTTCAGAGTAAAGTTGTGGCCAAGCCCAGGCACTGTCACGACCCGGCTGGGTGTGCACATGCTCAGGGTGGTGCTGACATGCCAGCCTCTTGCCACCTTGGCCCCCTCCAGACTTTGGGTGCTGATCAGCACAGGAAGGAGGCTGAGGGGGTCTGAGGGTGGCTTGGCATGGACACGCCTTGGCACGAAGAGCCTGGGAACCATGAACAGTGGCAGGAGACACACAGGCTCCTGAGTGGAAAGAAACAGGTCCCTGGTGATACCCTACCTTCAAGCCAGAGATGGTCTGAAGCCTGGGGGCCAGGCTGCCACTTCCAAGGACCAGAGTGAGAACTTATGGTGCTTTTTCCAGGCCAGTCTATGGCTGCTCATGGACCAATCAGCAGGTACTTCTTCCCTTCTGAACCCCACAAAAACCCTGGGTTCAGCCAGACTTGAGCAGATGATGGGAGGACCTGACTGTGGATAGGACCTACCTGCTGTGGGTCTCCTCTCTGCTGAGAGCTGTACTCTCATCAGGATGACCTCCCTGCGGGTAGGAGCTACCTGCTCCAGGAATCCTCTCCACTGAGGGCTGCAGAGACGTTTGGACAACCTGCCTGCAGAGAAGAGGTACCCATTGTGTGTCTCCTCTCCACTGAGATCTGTACACACATCAAGATGAACTGCCTGTGGATAGAAGCTACCCGCTCCAGGTTTCCTGAGAGCTGAACTGTCACTCAGTAAAGGACCTGTTTGCCTTGCTCCAGTTGTCTGTGTACCTCATTTTTCCTGGATACAAGACAAGAACTCGGATCGGCAGGACTGAAAGAGCCGCAATAAAAATAGAGCTGAAACATGCCCCCTCCTCACCACATTGTGGATGAGAAGGAGAGAAGAGAAGAGCTGTGGCCCTTCAGGGATCCCAGACCTAGGAGCTCCCTAAGCCAGAGATGTGACAACCTCTTTGGAGCTCTGCAGTTTCTGGTGTCTCCAAGATTCTGGGTGCCACCATGTTCCCCAGTGCCCACAGTGGAAGCTGCTTGTGGTATGCCTGGTTCCATTGCAGCAGGAAGCCAGTGGCTATGCCAGTCCCTATAGCTGCCCACCCTACTGAAGCTGGCATGCCTGGTTGTACACAGTGGCCAGATTGCATGCTCACTCGCTCACAGTCTCCTCAACACTCCATGCCTTGGCATGCATGGGATCCAGGCTGGTAGCAAAAGCCGAGTACACCCTACCTGGCCAAGTGAACAGAATGAGCCCCATGGGCTCAAACAAAACTCAGGCAAAGGTGCCACCAGCCACAGAGTTTTCTGGCTGAGGGAGTGACACCTTAAGGATCCCGTGACATTTTGGGGGGCTTTTCTGGGATCTGTAGAAGGTTGAATAAAAACGGACTTGCGGCTGGGCACGGTGGCTCATGCTTGTAATCCTAACACTTTGGGAGGCCAAGGCGGGCTCATGAGGTCAGGAGTTTGAGATCAGCCTGACCAATATGGTGAAACCCTGTCTCTACTAAAAATACAAAAATTAGCTGGGTGTGGTGGTGCACACCTAGTCTCAGCTACTCAGGAGGCTGAGGCAGGAGAATTGCTTGAACCCAGGAGGTGGAGGTTGCAGTGAGCTGAGATCGCACAACTGCACTCCAGCCTGGAGACAGAACAAGACTCTGTCTCAAAAAAAACAAAACAAAACAAAAAACAACAACAAAAAAAAAAACGGATTTTCAGCTTTCTCTCCTGTTTTCAGAGTCTCTAAACTCCACAACAGCCAAAATGAAAGAAAAACACTGAAGCACTGTTAGCCAGTGAAAAGTGACTAGTGCAGCTTTGGGACTTAAGACATGTAGGACAGGCTTGCTCCAGAAGCAACCGTTAATCCCCAATCACCTTCCAGTGTTAGGAATGTTGGCTTTGTTCCAATCCAATTTCCCTTCACAGAGGTCTAGACATCGCATGGAATCCAAAGGAGGTCCTGGGGCAACTGAGGGTAGCTGGTTGAGGCTACACCTCAGTGTTATCCAAAGGCCCCTGAACTAACTTTAATCCCCAACCACTTGTTAGAGTGTTGGCACTAGAACCCCTAGTCCTTCCTTCTTTTCTTTTTTTTCCTTTCCTTTCCTTTCTCTTTCTGTTCCTCTTCCTCTTTCTCTTTTTTCTTTTCTTTTCCTTTCTTTCCCTCCCTCCATCTCCCCTTCCCTTCCTTTCCCTCCCCTCCCCTCCCCTCCCCTCCCTTCCCTTCCCTTACCTTCCCCTCCCTTCCCCTCCCTTCCCCTTCCTTCCCCTCCCTTCCCCTCCCTTCCCCTCCCCTCCCTTCCCTTCCCTTCTTCCCCTCCCTTCCCCACCCTTCCCCACCCTTCCCCACCCTTCCCCTCCCTTCCCCTCCCCTCCCCTCCCCTTCCCTTCCCTTCCCTTTCTTGGTGGTCATGGCTCCTATCTCTTCTTTATATGCAATGTTATGGGTCCTGCTGCAAACCACATAAATATTCCTGAGTAGAATGAGCATTTTGAATTTGTCTTAGTCAACAGGAATGTATATTATAAATGAGAACACTGTGGTATCTACCAATTCGTAGGAGTATGAACATGTAATAATTGAGTTTTATTTCTCCCATTGAAGAACCCATTTGCATAGGGCAAGAAGCTGTTTCCCCCAGGCACCTTCCGCTTCCTTGCACGTAATTTGTTTTCTTCTCTTTTCTTCATCATGTCAGGAGTTAATATTATCCTGCAAATACAGGGAATTTTTCTTTTTTTTAAATTTATTCATTATTTTTATACTTTAAGTTTTAGGGTACATGTGCACAATGTGCAGGTTAGTTACATTTGTATACATGTGCCATGCTGGTGCGCTGCACCCACTAACTCATCATCTAGCATTAGGTGTATCTCCCAATGCTATCCCTCCCCCGTCCCCCCACCCCACAACAGTCCCCAGAGTGTGATGTTCCCCTTCCTGTATCCATGTGTTCTCATTGTTCAATTCCCACCTATGAGTGAGAATATGCGGTGTTTGGTTTTTTTGTTCTTGCGATAGTTTACTGAGAATGATGATTTCCAATTTCATCCATGTCCCTACAAAGGACATGAACTCATCATTTTTTATGGCTGCATAGTATTCCATGGTGTATATGTGCCACATTTTCTTAATCCAGTCTATCATTGTTGGACATTTGGGTTGGTTCCAAGTCTTTGCTATTGTGAATAATGCCGCAATAAACATACGTGTGCATGTGTCTTTATAGCAGCATGATTTATAATCCTTTGGGTATATACCCAGTAATGGGATGGCTGGGTCAAATGGTATTTCTAGTTCTAGATCCCTGAGGAATCACCACACTGACTTCCACAATGGTAGAACTAGTTTACAGTCCCACAAACAGTGTAAAAGTGTTCCTATTTCTCCACATCCTCTCCAGCACCTGTTGTTTCCTGGCTTTTTAATGATTGCCATTCTAACTGGTGTGAGATGGTATCTCATTGTGGTTTTGATTTGCATTTCTCTGATGACCAGTGATGGTGAGCATTCTTTCATGTGTTTTTTGGCTGCATAAATGTCTTCTTTTGAGAAGTGTCTGTTCATGTCCTTCACCCACTTTTTGATGGGTTTGTTTGTTTTTTTCTTGTAAATTTGTTTGAGTTCATTGTAGATTCTGGATATTAGCCCTTTGTCAGTTGAATAGGTTGCGAAAATTTTCTCCCATTTTGTAGGTTGCCTGTTCACTCTGATGGTAGTTTCTTTTGTTGTGCAGAAGCTCTTTAGTTTAATTAGATCCCATTTGTCAATTTTGGCTTTTGTTGCCATTGCTTTTGGTGTTTTAGACATGAAGTCCTTGCCCATGCCTATGTCCTGAATGGTAATGCCTAGGTGTTCTTCTAGGGTTTTTATGATTTTAGGTCTAACGTTTAAGTCGTTAATTCATCTTGAATTGATTTTTGTATAAGGTGTAAGGAAGGGATCCAGTTTCAGCTTTCTGCATATGGCCAGCCAGTTTTCCCAGCACCATTTATTAAATAGAGAATCCTTTCCCCATTGCTTGTTTTTCTCAGGTTTGTCAAAGATCAGATAGTTGTAGATAAGCGGCGTTATTTCTGAGGGCTCTGTTCTGTTCCATTGATCTATATCTCTGTTTTGGTACCAGTACCATGCTGTTTTGGTTACTGTAGTATAGTTTGAAGTCAGGTAGTGTGATGCCTCCAGCTTTGTTCTTTTGGCTTAGGATTGACTTGGCGATGCGGGCTCTTTTTTGGTTCCATATGAACTTTAAAGTAGTTTTTTCCAGTTCTGTGAAGAAAGTCATTGGTAGCTTGATGGGGATGGCATTGAATCTGTAAATTACCTTGGGCAGTATGGCCATTTTCACGATATTGATTCTTCCTACCCATGAGCATGGAATGTTCTTCCATTTGTTTGTATCCTCTTTTATTTCCTTGAGCAGTGGTTTGTATTTTTCCCTTGAAGAGGTCCTTCACATCCCTTGTAAGTTGGATTCCTAGGTATTTTATTCTCTTTGAAGCAACTATGAATGGGAGTTCACTCATGATTTGGCTCTCTGTTTGTCTGTTGTTCGTGTATAAGAATGCTTGTGGCCGGGCGCGGTGGCTCACGCCTGTAATCCCAGCACTTTGGGAGGCCGAGGCGGGTGGATCATGAGGTCAGGAGATCGAGACCATCCTGGCTAACAAGGTGAAACCCCGTCTCTACTAAAAATACAAAAAATTAGCCGGGCGCGGTGGCGGGCGCCTGTAGTCCCAGCTACTGGGGAGGCTGAGGCAGGAGAATGGCGTGAACCCGGGAAGCGGAGCTTGCAGTGAGCCGAGATTGCGCCACTGCAGTCCGCAGTCCGGCCTGGGGGACAGAGCGAGACTCCGTCTCAAAAAAAAAAAAAAAAAAAAAAAAAAAGAATGCTTGTGATTTTTGTACATTGATTTTGTATCCTGAGACTTTGCTGAAGTTGCTTATCAGCTTAAGGAGATTTTGGGCTGAGACAATGGGGTTTTCTAGATATACAATCATGTCGTCTGCAAACAGGGACAATTTGACTTCCTCTTTTCCTAACTGAAGACCCTTTATTTCCTTCTCGTGCCTAATTTCCCTGGCCAGAACTTCCAACACTATGTTGAATAGGAGTGGTGAGAGAGGGCATCCCTGTCTTGTGCCAGTTTTCAAAGGGAATGCTTCCAGTTTTTGCCCATTCAGTATGATATTGGCTGTGGGTTTGTCATAGATAGCTCTTATTATTTTGAGATACGTCCCATCAATACCTAATTTATTGAGAGTTTTTAGCATGAAGCCTTGTTGAATTTTGCCAAAGGCCTTTTCTGCGTCTATTGAGATAATCATGTGGGTTTTGCCTTTGGCTCTGTTTATATGCTGGATTACATTTATTGATTTGTGTATATTGAACCAGCCTTGCATCCCAGGGATGAAGCCCACTTGATCATGGTGGATAAGCTTTTTGATGTGCTGCTGAATCAGTTTGCCAGTATTTTATTGAGGATTTTTGCATCAATGTTCATCAAGGATATTGGTCTAAAATTCTCTTTTTTTGTTTTGTCTCTGCCCGGCTTTGGTATCAGGATGATGCTGGCCTCATAAAATGAGTTAGGGAGGATTCAATACAGGGAATTTTTCTATGTGAGAGACTAATTTGTTTTTCCTTTTGAGAGGCATATTTATAGTCCAGGTCCCCAATTCCCTGCACTCCCTTTCTCTCCCTTGTTTGAAGAAGACTGGCTCCCACAGTTTTACCTGCTTATCATAGGGAAGCAACAGAGGGGCTGCCCCACTGGTTGCTCTCTGCAATTTGGTGAGGGCCATCTGGGACTTAATTACTGAGTCCCTACACCCTCCTGAGGCAATCCCAATCTTTGATTTGAGGCCCTAGAAAGGTAATCTACATCTGAGGAATCCAGAGACCGATAACTATGGTAGTCTAGGGGCGCAGTACAGGTGAGCATGACTCATTCCTACCAATTAGGTCCTCCTACTTCATGGATGGAGGCAGCCCCTGCTGCCTCAGCCCCCTCCAGACTTTGAATGCAATTGAGCACAAGAAGGAGGCTGAGGGGGGACTGAGGGTGGCTCACACGGGCCTGCTGGTACCCTTTGGCATGGGCAGCCTAGGTGCCAGGAATGGCAGCAGGAGGCAGACAGGCTTCTAGGAGGAAAGGGGCAGGTCTCTGCTGATACTCCACCTTCAACCAAATAACAGTCTGAAGTCTGGGTGCCAGTCTGCCAGTTTTGTAGATAAGAGTGAGAATTTATTGTGCCTTTTTTGGACTTTCCTATGGCTGCCCGTGGGCCAGTCAGCATGCACTTCCTCCACTCTGAAGCCCATAAAAACCCCAGACTCAGACTCGGGCAGATAATAGGACAGCATGCCTATGAAGAGGATCTACCCACTGTGGGTCTCCTCGCTGCTGAGAGCTGTACACTCATTGCAGCAACCTGCTTGCGGAAAAGAGCTACACACTCCAGGTCTCCTCTCTGCTGAGGGTTGCAGAAATGTCAGGATGACCTGCCTGTGGATAGGAGGTACCCATTCTGGGTCTCCTATCTGCTGAGGGCTGCAGGCTGCAGACTCAATGGGATGACCTTCTTGTGGAGAGGAGCTACCCACTGTGGGTCTCCACTCTGCTGAGAACTCTATACTTATTGCAATGACCTGACTGTGGATAGGAACTAGCCACTTCACGTCTCCTCAGAGATGTACTGTTGCTCAATAAAGTACCTCTTCACCTTGCTCACCCTCTAGTTGTTCACATACCTCATTCTTCCTGGTTGTGGGACAAGAAGTTGGGACCTGCCAAATGCTGAGACTGAAAAATATATAACACAACAGGGCTGAAACATATCCCCTCCTCACCATGTTGTGGGGAATGAGAAAGAAAGAATAGCTGTGGCCCTCTGTGGAGTGCAGACCTAGGAGCTCCCTGAGCCAGGGCTGTGACACCCTCTTTGGGGCTCTGCAGTTCCTGGTATCTACAAGCTTCTGGCCGCCACCATGTTCCCCAGTGCCTACAGTGGAAGCTGCTTGTGGTTGGCCTGATCCAGCTGCAGCAGGGAACTGGTACTTGTGCCAGTGCCTGGAGCTGACTGCCCCACCACAGGCAGTGTGCCTGGCTGTGCGCAGTGACCTGAGCCTGCGTTCACTCACTCATGTACCCCTCACTGTTCTGTGCCTTGCTTCCCCTTGGCGATCATGGGATCTGGGCTGGTAGTGACAGCTGAGTGCAGCCTGTCAGGCCAAGTGGGTGGGAGAAGTATAGCAGGCCCAAGCAAAACTCAGGCAAAGGTGTCACCCACCGCAGAGGTATCTGGCTGGTGAAGCAACACCCTAAAGGTCCTGTGGCATAACTAAATGAGAAGAACAAAATAAATTTTAAAAAATATCTAAATAACCTAACTGAAAGTACTCTAGAGGTACCAATGGGTAAAATCTGATGAGCTAGATTTCCAGATTTAGTTCTATTCTATTTAATTTGAAGGAAATAATATGTTTATGATTTCTTATGTATAAACAGTATGGTTTGGTTATTGGAAGAATTTAAAATATAATCCTGAAAATCTATCATTCTAAGAATACCTTAGTTTCATTGTTTTTTTTTTCAAAAAGATAATATTCAAATTGTATTTTAGAACTCATTTTTGACTGTCAGACTGTTTACCAAGGTAGACTTTTATGCCTTATCAATAGCTATTATTATATTGCTTCCAAATATTAATTTGGTATTTCCAACTATATTTACAGATGAGCAAAATCATAATGTATTACTTACAATTATTAATGATTAACTAATAATACATAGAAATGAGAATTAAACCATTACAAGAGCTCAGAAATAAATTTTAGACCATTGCTAATTTAACTTTATTCTTTCAGAAACAATCTCAGCCAAAAATGCCTGCCAGTGATGACCTACTCTAAACTACCTTAAACAGAAACTTTGGCTAAAAGCCAGAAATAAGCACTAGCATTTATTTGTGTCTCTGTCTTAGCCCAAGTGATCAAAAAGAAAAAAAAAAAGGTTTTGTTCTATTCAGAAGGTAAAGCTATGGTTGCACTATTTTTATACTTTTGGAGCCAACATATATATGGAAATAATAGAGTGCATCCAGATGGGCAGAGATTAGTTTTTCCATCGGCAGTTGAACATCAAGTGGTTTGATGATAGGAGGTTAAAATTAGCAGTTAAAATTAGTGGGAGAGGAAGTACTTTGTTAAATAAGTTGACCTTAAATTCTTTATATGTCATGGCATGGTTCTAGAATTATCAAAAGAAATGGTAGTATTAAGCTGTATCAGCCTCCCTCTCCCACATCTCCTATTGAAATAAAAAGGGTCCCAGAATATTACTTTAAAGTTATTTAAAATCTATTAGATTTGCTTTATATGAGAAAGGGAATGTGTTAAGAGAAAAGCTTTTCAGACAATTCTAGAGCTTTAGAATTCAGGGATATTTGCATGATTTAACTAATGTTTTCAGAGCCTTGGATCTTTAAAATGTTTGAAAATGTAGCCTTTTTCCACAGAAAATAAATAATTATAGGTGAATATGAATGATCCCATACTCTAATTGACATCTATGTATTCACACACCAAACATACACATACACACATACTCACATTTGCATATATTCAGACTCACACATATTAACATATATGCAGACTCACACATTTACAAAAGCTCTCGCATAGTTATGTTGTGGACATTTTCAGTGAGGTTAATGGACATTCCTGAATTCTGAATGTGAAATCAGAATAAGAATCAGTGATCTACACAATGAACACTAACTGATGGGTACAATAAAAGCCCAGACTTCATACCATCACACAATTCATCCATGTAATCAAAAACCAGTTGTACCCCTAAAGTTATTGAAATAAAAAAATTAAAAAATAGAAGGACAACCAAATGACACCGACACTAATATGAATCAAAAAAAAAAAAAAAAACCAAAAAAAAACGAATAAGAATCTGTGATTCAACAGAGTTCAGCACAATGGCCCATGGCCCATGGCCCAGATTTAACCTACCTCCTCTAATGGATGAAATTTTATTAGAACACAGTCATACTCAGTTGTTTGTGTATTGTTTGTGTCTGTTTACATGCTATAATGGCTGAGTTCAATAGTTGAAACAGAGACCATGTGATTCACAAAGCCTAAAATATTTGCTATCTGACCATTCAAAGAAAAATGTTTGCTGACCCAGGATCTACAACCACATTTTTCTTTACATAATAAACAGATTTATAAAGTTTAAATAGGCTATTAGCTACCATACAGAGCAATGTGGCAACATGGTGAACCGAATTAATACAAAATTTTGTTTTTGCTATAAGATCCTAAAATACTGGATAAAATAACAGCAAATTATAAACAAGGCCTTGCCTGTGCACATAGCAGGAAACTGCAAGGGAGACTCCTACACAGACTCTCACGAGGCTGTCCCTAAGCGGAAGAGACTAGAACTCTCCATGCACTCTCTATAAAGACATCCAGGATGCTAATCTCCCCCTAGGGCCAAGGTTCTTCAGAGGGGAATATAAACACAAGAAAGAACATTTTTTTCTTGTGAAAGAAATCAACGTTCTAATCCATGCTATTAAAATTTAGAGTATGAATTTATATTACCAAGCTAAGATATTAATAAATTAAAATAAACCTGTTAAACCGTGTTTATTTTGTTTTTCACAATCCAGGTCTCACATTATTTCCAAACATTAGGCAATTTCCACTGAAGATTAGTTCACATCCATAGTAATGATAATAATAATAATAATGAAAGAATCCACAATGATACTAAGTCAGAAGATATGCCTAGAAAGCCAAGGAGGAATAGCATCCCTGGAACTTAAGAAATTGAAAAATCTGAGAGAGTATTTCTCAGAATATTGAGGTAAGTTATTTAAGGTATAAAAGGAGAAATGAAATAAAAAAAAAAGACCCCATGAAAATTGCCAAGTGATTTGTAATAAATCCAGCAGAATCTCTAGAAATGAAAACAGAGCTGCTAGAAGTAAAAATTTTAGCAGAAGTGTTTCAAAAACACATTAAAACTGAAGAAATTATTCATAAATTCTGAAAAGTAAGTACATAATAGCTATTAATACATTAACATAAACATAAACAATAGATGTTAAAAGAAAATTAAAAATAGGAAAAAAGAGGTTAAGAAATATTAATATAGGATGAAAGGTACAATATAAATATAATAGAAATTAAAGAATAAGAAATTTGAGAGCCTTGTAAGAAGCAATATTAGAACAGATAGCTGATAATTTCCTTGAATTGTTAAAAGATATTGATCCTCAAACTGAAGAAGCTTAAGGAATTTATATATAAAGTTGTATATATGTATATATGAAGTTATGTGTATATATTTAGACACGTATATGTATATATATATAATATGTATATATAGCCACACACACATTATATATATATGTATATATATATATATATATATATATAATGCTAGATATATACAGAGATAGATCTTCACATATGTACACATTATAGTGAAAGTGCAGAAAGCAGAATATCAAAACAAAGGGTATTCAATTAGGAAAAGAGGAAGTCAAATTGTCCCTGTTTGCAGACCACATGATTGTATATCTAGAAAACCCCATTGTCTCAGCCCAAAATCTCCTTAAGCTGATAAGCAACTTCAGCAAAGTCTCAGGATACAAAATCAATGTACAAAAATCACAAGCATTCTTATACACCAACAACAGACAAACAGAGAGCCAAATCATGAGTGAACTCCCATTCACAATTGCTTCAAAGAGAATAAAATACCTAGGAATCCAACTTACAAGGGATGTGAAGGACCTCTTCAAGGAGAACTACAAACCACTGCTCAACGAAATAAAAGAGGATACAAACAAATGGAAGAACATTCCATGCTCATGGGTAGGAAGAATCAATATCGTGAAAATGGCCATACTGCCCAAGGTAATTTACGGATTCAATACCATCCTCATCAAGCTACCAATGACTTTCTTCACAGAACTGGAAAAAACTACTTTAAAGTTCATATGGAACCAAAAAAGAGCCCGCATCGCCAAGTCAATCCTAAGCCAAAAGAACAAAGCTGGAGGCATCACACTACCTGACTTCAAACTATACTACAAGGCTACAGTAACCAAAACAGCATGGTACTGGTACCAAAACAGAGATATAGATCAATGGAACAGAACAGAGCCCTCAGAAATAATGCCACATATCTAGAACTATCTGATCTTTGACAAACCTGAGAAAAACAAGCAATGGGGAAAGGATTCTCTATTTAATAAATGGTGCTGGGAAAACTGGCTGGCCATATGTAGAAAGCTGAAACTGGATCCCTTCCTTACACCTTATACAAAAATCAATTCAAGATGGATTAAAGACTTAAACGTTAGACCTAAAACCATAAAAACCCTAGAAGAAAACCTAGGCATTACCATTCAGGACATAGGCATGGGCAAGGACTTCATGTCTAAAACACCAAAAGCAATGGCAACAAAAGCCAAAATTGACAAATGGGATCTAATTAAACTAAAGAGCTTCCACACAGCGAGAGAAACTACCATCAGAGTGAACAGGCAACCTACAAAATGGGAGAAAATTTTCGCAACCTACTCATCTGACAAAGGGCTAATATCCAGAATCTACAATGAACTCAAACAAATTTACAAGAAAAAACAAACAACCCCATCAAAAAGTGGGTGAAGGACATGAACAGACACTACTCAAAAGAAGACATTTATGCAGCGAAAAAACACATGAAAGAATGCTCACCATCACTGGCCATCAGAGAAATGCAAATCAAAACCAAAATGAGATACCATCTCACACCAGTTAGAATGGCGATCATTAAAAAGTCAGGAAACAACAGGTGCTGGAGAGGATGTGGAGAAATAGGAACACTTTTCCACTGTTGGTGGGACTGTAAACTAGTTCAACCATTGTGGAAGTCAGTGTGGCGATTCCTCAGGGATCTAGAACTAGAAATACCATTTGATCCAGCCATCCCATTAATGGGTGTATACCCAAAGAACTATAAATCATGCTGCTATAAAGACACATGCACACATATGTTTGTTGCGGCATTATTCACAATAGCAAAGACTTGGAACCAACCCAAATGTCCAACAATGATAGACTGGATTAAGAAAATGTGGCACATATACCCCATGGAATACTATGCAGCCATAAAAATGATGAGTTCATGTCCTTTGTAGGGACATGGATGAAATTGGAAATCATCATTCTCAGTAAACTATCGCAAGAACAAAAAACCAAACACCGCATATTCTCACTCATAGGTGAGAATTGAACAATGAGAACATGTGGACACAGGAAGGGGAACATCACACTCTGGGGACTGTTGTGGGGTCGGGGGAGCGGGGAGGGATAGCATTGGGAGATATACCTAATGCTAGATGACGAGTTAGTGGGTGCAGCACACCAGCATGGCACATGTATACATATGTAACTAACCTGCACATTTTGCACATGTACCCTAAAACTTAAAATATAATAATAATAAATAAAAAAACCCAAAAAAACAAAAAACAAAAAAAACAAATTTTTGGCCATTAAAGCATATATCATGGAACTTGATCACACATTGTTATTTGGTCACGAACCAAAGTTCTTTTTATTTCCCTTGAAAATTCAGTTTAGATGGCCAACTTATTGATTATTTACATGATATTATTTGTCAAGCCCACAGGTTATTTTTGTAATACAGAATCATTTAATAAAGTTTCCATCTGAAATGTCAAAAAAAAAGAATATCAAAACAAAGAAGAATTTTAAAATAGAAAGTGCAGAATGCAGAATATCAAAAGATAGAGGAATTTTAAAACAGGGAGAAAATGCAGGCATTATAAAAATGCGATAAAATTTCGACCAATGAAAGGATTTATATTTGCGACAGAGAGACACTGGAAAACATTTTCCATTTGCTCAGTGATAATAACTCACACTTAGATATTCATATGCTGCTAAAATATCATTCAAAATTAAGATAAAAAGAACATTTTTAGACAAAATAATAAATCAGAAAGTTCACTACTTGCAGACTGTGGTGGACAGAATTATAAACAATTTTCTATTATGAAAATAACAAAAACCAGAAGGAAGGAAAGGAATTTCGGAAGAAGTGATGACAGAGCTAATGATAACTTTTAAAAAGAGAGTGAAAATTACTGCATTGTATATAAATAAGCAATGACTTTATAATAGTGAAGTTTATTATAAAATGGAATTAGATACATTTTTGATGGGAGGTAAGAACATGTATTTTTTGTTAATTTTA
This sequence comes from Homo sapiens, assembly GCF_000001405.40. Taxonomy (NCBI): domain Eukaryota; kingdom Metazoa; phylum Chordata; class Mammalia; order Primates; family Hominidae; genus Homo; species Homo sapiens. Next base: position 86,195,788 of record NC_000007.14, on the reverse strand, counting down.
AGAATAGCTGTGGAGGGAATAAATAGAAAAATGTAACTTCTCTAGAGGAGTGCATAAAATAGGAACAAAGATAATCATCAAAGAGTGCTCTGAGAATATACACTGTCTTTTATCCTTCCTAAGGCCCATTTACAATGAGGGTAAGCAAATGGACTTGTGCCAGCCAAGAAATCTAGGGATGCATGGGTGGTTTGGGAATGAGCAACTCTGGTTGAGTAATACATTTAACCCATGTCTAAGAAAATAAAGAGATTGTTGACGCATTTCTACTGATGAAGTAAGGGAGAAAATGGCAAAAGAAAATAATGCAGCCAATTTTGGCAGACAGGTCAGAACAGGACCAAAAAGGTACCTGGATATGAGTCTGCAGGAGAATCAGATGGGGTATAAAACTGTAGGAAGAGGGCGAGGGGTGTGGGTGGTTAATAGACTGGCCATATATGGAACAACTGGAAGAGTTGACTTCACTCTATTTATACCCCTTGTCCTGTATCTGGCCATTTTTGATTATACAGGGAGTTTAAGTACCTTACGCTTTATCTGGATCAGTGGAGACCTAAAGGACACATGAAAGATTTATCAAAATTCCTAAAAGGATTAGAGATCCTAGGGTAGATGCTGGCTCCAATGTTTAAAGCCTTCTGACCTTTGAGAGGCCCTTGGCTTAAATTCAGAATTTTGGTTTATTCATCCTAAAAAGAAGTGAGTCAGTCAGCATCCTTACATATGTCTATGGTGTTCTCCTCCTTTCAACAATAGGGGAAATCTATTCTAGCTACCTAGAAAATGTCCCTGTCCATACATTTAAATGGGGATATCTATACTGATTGTTATACATATGATAAAAATCAGCAGCAGAGCAAAAAAAGGAAAGTCAAAAAGAATAAAGAGCAATAAAAAGAATGAAGAGAGAATTAAAGGCCTCAAACAAAAATTTAAACATCTTAAATTTATATTTTCAGAAAGATTCAAGAACGTGTTGATTACATAAAGCCAGAACATGATGTTATAAAAAATGAGAGAAAAAAAAAAGATGAGGAGTAGGTGGAGAGGAGAAGGCAAAAGTGACTTAAAACTAAGCATGTATAGCCAGGTGCATACCTGTATTCTTAAATGTTTGGGAGTCCGAGTCAGGAGGATCAACTGAGCCTGGGATTTCAAGGCTGCAGTGAGCTTATGATGGTGCCATTGTACCACAAGTCTACGCAACAGGGTGAGACCCTGTCCCTAAACAACAACAATAATATAAATAAAATCAAGTATTTATTAGGGAAAAGAAAAAAACCCTAAAGATTAGAAATTAAGGAAAGAAAATCTTCTTATTTAGAGTTAAATAAAAACTTTAAAAAGTTGATTTTGAGAGAAAAGAGGCATAATGTAACATTCCAATAGTGTCAATATATGAATTACAGAATTTGATAGGAGAGAATAGGAAAAAATATGGAGAAGAGTAAATAACTACTGTTGGAAGAGAATTAACTTATAAAAGCTTAAAATAAAGAAAAAATATCAAAATGGGAAGGGTCTGCTAAGTCCCCTTTTGAAAAGGTGGAAAATACAAATAAATAAGACTATACCTGGATACATGACTTCGAATTTGCAGAACACTGTTTCCAGAGTGAAAATATAAGTCAATCACATCAGATTTTCATCAATCATGGTAGAATATACAAAAAATGTAAAATATATTCAATTCTTTGATTATAAAATATGATTGGGAAGCTAGGATTCTGTAACTATAGAATCATTCGACTCAGAAAAATTTTACCTCCCAATTTATATCTTCCTCATTTCCCTTCCACGTTTTCTATATTTTTCCTCCTTCCTCCCTCCTTCTCTTCACTTCTGTCCTCCTTCTTTCCTTCCTTTTTCTTTATTATTACCTTCATTTTTTGGAAAGTTTTGTTTTTACATATAAACAAGGAAAAGAGGAGTTAAAAGTAAAAACAAATGATGGCTATACCAGCAATAGTGAAATTCATCTGGCATTCCAGGAGAATGAAATGGCAACTTGCTATATGAGCAAAGAAGCAGAACTTAAAAAAGAGGTCCAAATTAGAGCCTAAGTTGAGTGACCTCTAAAAACAAATCTGGAAGAAAAAACCATATTGGATAAAAAGGAATATATGGAATAGAATAAGGCTATACTAAAGAAGCTCACATTACTTCACTCAATAAGAACAAAGCAAAGATTTGAAATTCTGGGAAAATAAACCAAACCTGATCCTAATATATAACAACCATAGCAAACCATACTTTTTAGCTGAAGTGTAAGAAAATATAATCAATTTCAACAAGATGTAGATTACATTCTTCAGTAGGTCAGAGATACGAAATTGAACCAACAGGGAAGGAAGTTCGCCATCAGCATACTACTGGCTATGCAAGTGGCTTGGTTACAAGTCATTTATTCGTTTCCGCCTTGTTTAAAAACTTCATTATTCACCCATATAAATTTTATTAACCTAGACAACATAAAGGCAAAGCTATAACTCTCAGAAAAAGAACGGTGGGAAGGGAAATTAACATCTGAGAGTCAAATCAAGAGAGGATCTGAAACAGTACAAAAAATGGAGGTTGAAGAATTAGTAGAAAGAAATAAGGGAAGATGAATATGATCCAGAGTCTCAGCTGTTATAACAATAAGTCACGAGATAATTTCTAATGATGATAAATTTAAAGACCCATAGAGCATACTATTTAATAATTTGGAGGTAATAAAAAAGTTTTCTGGGATTTGGCCCTGGGCAGAGGTGAAACTATTCCATTGAACTATGGTTACTTTAGTACTGTTTTATTTTCTACTATGCATATACACATTGCTGTATTTTAATTATTACAAAAGCAAATTAATTCATGATACACATCCATCTTTTTTGGTATTTTAATATGAGACTGTTATTACTAATATATCTAAAATATAGGCAATAACTTATTTTTAACCATAATACAATAGCTTTCCTCTGTGAATTTCAATTTTTTTTTTTTTTTTTTTTGAGACAGCGTCTCGCTCTGTCTCCCAGGCTGGAGTGCGGTGGCACGATCTCGGCTCACTGCAAGCTCCGCCTCCCAGGTTCACGCCATTGTCCTGCCTCAGGCTCCTGAGTATCTTCGACTACAGGCGCCCGCCACCATGCCCGGGTAATTTTTTGTATTTTTAATAGAGACGGGGTTTCACCGTGTTAGCCAGGATGGGCTCGATCTCCTGACCTCGTGATCCGCCCGCCTCGGCCTCTCAAAGTGCTGGGATTACAGACGTTAGCCACCGTGCCCGGCCTCAAAATTTTAAAATAGACAAATGTAATTTTTAATAGGGAACTTTAAATAGCAGTTTTCTCAAATGTTCCACTTGTAATCAAATTTGAGTAATTTCCACATTAATATAATAGGTAGTGCTCATTTCTTCATTGCATTCTATTGGTCTCAATTTCTTAGTGGGTACTTAGCAAAGCTTAGCCCACACTACAACAGTATTAGATACAAATAATTTGTTCAGGATTATCAATGCACGCTACAAACACTAAATGGTTTCATCTACATAAATCCATACAAGGGCAATTGATACCAATTAACCAAAAAAGACTTTCATTGGTTTTATTTCCTGCAGTATTTATAATGAATCAGCCGAGGATAATTTTCTCGACTATACATGCTGACCAGCAATTCACTAACCAATGTATTCAAACATATTTTTTTGCATTAAAATTATGACCATTTTCAGCCGGGCGCGGTGGCTCATGCCTGTAATCCCAGCACTTTGGGAGGCCGAGGCGGACGGATCACGAGGTCAGGAGATCAAGATCATCCTGGCTTATGTGGTGAAACCCTGTCTCTACTAAAAATACAAAAAATTAGCGGGCGTGGTGGCGGGCGCCTGTAGTCCCAGCTACTCGGGAGGCTGAGGCAGGAGAATGGCGTGAATCTGGGAGGCGGAGCTTGCAGTGAGCAGAGATTGCGCCACTGCATTCCAGCCTGGGCAACAGAGCGAGACTCCACCTCAAAATAAATAAATAAATAAATACAATTATGACCATTTTCAATATTTTTAATAAATATTCATATACTTTGTAATAAGCCCCAACATGAGTTTGAAATGGAAATAGGGGCATAAAAGTGAAGCAATTATAGAATGAGAAGCAACTATGGAGAGAAAGTATAAGCACGGCCCACTTCTTAGGCAAGTAACCTCAGAATCACACAGGACCCAATACAAAGATGGCACCATGCTTAGTTTAACCCTCTGCTGTTGCTATCTTGTAATTATTAATAATTCTTTAACGTGGCGCTTTTATGTTGCACTGAGCCCTGAAAATTACATAGACAGGTTTATATGTAAGCGTTGATTTCAACCAAAGATATGCTTAGAAAGAAAATACAAGTATAAATCTCTGGGAGAATATCTGAAGTATTAATTTTATTTGCTGGAAATCTGAACTTTTTTTCAAGTTTGTTTTTCTGTGATTTTTATTTTTTGTGTCTTTGGAGACGAAAAGCAAAATTGATATTAATAATAGTTTCTACTAGAGGTTTTAAATATTTAAAATAATTTAGAACAAGATGTTTTATAGTTTACTTTTTTAGCTTTTTTTAAATTGGTTCTATTTTATTTATAGAAGACATTATTTGACACTCTTTATAGCTCAGATATGGTACAGGGACTAATATATTCACATGTAAGTAATATCTTTTGAGGTTAAAAACTGAAGTATTTCTATGTTTTATCACTGCTAAGAAGATTTTTGCCACGTATTTACAATTTTAACAGAGACATGTCATTTAATATCCATGCCCATGTAGGCTTTTAAATTAATATAGAAAAGCTAACTTGCTATATTATTCCTTTGCTCTCAAGAAGAAATAATCTTAGCTTATTTGGAATATATTTATTTTTCTAAACTAATTGTGTCCTAGTGTTCCAGGATCAAAGGCCGGACTACACACGTTGGGTAGTTTTCTACCTTCTCCAATGGGTAGGGAAAGTTAAATTATTCATCTGGGGTCTCAGTCTTTTAAGAAACCTAGGAAAAAGTAATAAATAAGTTGTTCATAGTATCTACTGAAAAATAAACAACTCAGAAGTCCACATGTGAAATAAACTTAAGTATTAGAATTTGAAGACTTTAAAGTTATCCCAAGGCCACAACTCACTGGTTAGTTAACTAGTAACTAATAGTAGTTACTAGTACTAGTTAGTAATACTAACTAGTAACTACTAATAACTAGTATCATAACTATTAACTACTAATAGTTAATTAGTTAACTACTAACTACTAATAGTTAATTAGTTAACTACTAACTCATGGAGAACACTTATAGGTTTGCACAGAAGGTAGCCCAACTCATGTGGATCATCTTATTATAGCTCAAAATTAGAATTTTCTTCCTTTTTTTGGATGACTTTGCTTCACTATAATTTGTAACTAGTTAACAACCTTGTACTTGGAAGCTAATAATGCATAGGATGTGTCCAAATATTTTCTTCATGAAGATCGAAAACTTGTCTCCTTCTCAAGCAATATGGCTGATGAACAAAAGTTAATTTTCCAAAGCTGAATAGCAGCTTCTCCAAAATAAGTGAGATTGAGTTACTAAAATTACTCATGTCTAGGCATCTCAGGTTTGGATAATATAAGATGACAAAGAATAGTAAGTATAGGAAACAAAAAAGCACTATTTTCCATTTAACATGTCCGCCAAGGTGCTATTTCTATTTCGAGATCGTTGGTAGTCAAGACAGTGTATGCTCCTTTTACTTATGAGGATGACAATAAATTGTTCAATTTTTAATATAAATTATGCCCAAGTAGTAAAAATGAGCACACTTATAATATGTGTGTTAAGTAAAGTCAGATTTGAAAATAAATATTTCATCTATAGGTATGTAAATAGAGATATAAATATTATAGTACTGGACAAGATAATCTTAGAGTCTATGTCACTTATAACTTCATGTGATTCTACTTTATACTAACATTGGAATGGAGTTCTCTAACAAAGCTTCTTTGTAATCATTTGATATATAATCAGTTAATTATATATCATTTGATATATGTCATTAAAATTACATCTACATCTTAAAACAGAAGGCTTAACAATAAGATAATATGTTTCACAGTTCATATCAACATATACATTTTAATATTGTCAAAGAGCAGATATAAAGTAAAGATGTTTCATTGGAAAGCTGGTTAATAATATAAATTTAAAATAAAGTCTAAAATTGAAAAGGGGGATAACATCACTAAGAATAAAACAATAGGCTTAACAAGATTGATCATTGCACAATCTTTCTGATAATGTTTTTAATACAAATACTAAAGACATCTGTTTAACAACATCATTTTATGCTAAGTAATCTTGGAATCGTAAGATCATTGTTACACGCCTGTTGATACCCTGTCCTCTCCTTATAGCTGTGATCATAGTAGATTTATTTTTCATTTTTAATCTTTGTTGCTGGTATTTTTAGTTATGTAAGGGCAGTAACCATATCTGTCTTTCTCACTGGTATTTGTCCACTGTTTGAAAAGTGCTAGGTATTCAAGAAATGTTTGATGAATAAAATTACAAACAAAATTGGTGTATTTTATGTCAGTTTGGTCAAACTGCTATTTGTTGAACACCTACTATATGCTAGGAATACAAAGATTACAAAAGCAGGGATCTGCCATGAGGAACAGATGTACTGGTAATACAAGACACATTATTCTAGTATTCTATATCCAATGGCCCATCAATGATCGGTCAGGTGCTATGGAACTAGAGAGTCAGCCAGAATGCAGCCAGCAAGTTCCAACTTTATGAATTTATGTCTAAACCAAATCTGAAATATAGCCAAGGAATTGAGAGTTAGATGAGGATGATAAAAGCATTCCAAGCGAAAGGAATAGAAAAACCAGTTTCAAAAGTATGAGAGAGCATGATTAATGGGAAGAATGTTAAGTAATCAGCTATTTTTAAATTATTAAGCAATAGTTGATACCTAGTTTTGTCAAATTTATTTCAAATTGGAGGAGTCATAATGTTCCACTGTATGATTTTACATTTAACTTAATTTTTACCAAGAAACTGTATCATGATATGAAAAAGAAGTGATAACATTGGTGAATGTTTGGGCTCAAAATAAAGTATTAATAGTAGAATGAAAACAATGGCTCCATGTGCATAAATGGCAGCTCTCAGAAGAGCTCTCAAGAAGATATATATTATATTTACTATAGAAAACACATTTTTTGCTATATCAAGAGCAGTGTAAGTTATTTTTCTACACAGCTAACATATATCCTTTTAAAAGAATAAGTGCTTCATGTACGTATTGTTATTGTATAGAATGTTTTCCCCAGTGGATAATGTGTTACTGCATGTATACATATTGTGCACCATACAAATCATTTAGAACATTACAATGAGGTAAATGTTTGAATCATTTTCTATTTATAAGTTTTAGAAATAAAGGAAGAATATTTACTAGTCTCTAAAACATGTTTAATATTCTGCTATAGGTATTTTGCAATTCTTAGTTTTTAAAATTGGATCTGCATTTTTGTGCTCTGGGCTCTGAAAATTATGTAGCCAGTCTTCCTTTTTGTTTTACCTTTTTTCATACAGAGAAATATTTTTGTTGTGATTGTTTTGTTTTCTTTTTAGAAATATTCTGTTCTACTCACTGTAAAGATATATAGATATCCCAGTATTTGGGAGGCTATATATCACTATCTATAGTGATATATAGATATCTCTGTATTTGGGAGCACTTTGGGAGGCCGAGGCAGTCGATCATCTGAGGCTAGAAGTTTGAGTCCAAACTGGCCAAGATGGCGAACCTCACCTCTACTAAAAATGCAAAAATTAGCTGGGTGTAGTGGCTCACACCTGTAATCCCAGCCACTTGGGAGGCTGAGACAGGAGAATCTCTTGAAGCCAGGAGGCAGAGGTTGCAGTGAGCTGCGATCATGCCATTGCACTCCAGCCTGGGTGACAGAGCCAGAGACGATCTCAAAAAAAAAAAAAAAAAAAAAAGAGAAAGGAAGAAAAGACAGATATCTATACAGTGAGAAAAAATATAATTTTTTCCTTATCAACTTTATGTTTAAAAAAAAGGACTTTAAATTTCCATGATACTTATTGGGTATCGGTACCTTCTCTGCTATTAAATTTAAAAATCTGTCAATGAAAGAAGGGTGTTTGGGTTTATCATTAATATTTCTTCGCCTAGAAATGAAAGGAGAATTTTTTTTCTCATTTTTCAGACCACAGCTTTCTTTTATTTGAAATACCTGCATATTTTAATCCAAAATGTATCTTCAGAGAAATTTTTACATTTAGCAAGAATATCCTAACTTGTTTTAAACTAACTATCCTGGCATGAACTAGAAGCAGTTAAATAAAGTTTTAAAAAATGTATTTAAATAAACCAGAGGAAAACAAGGACTTCAGGGACTACAAAAGTATCATTATTGGGAAAAGAAAATTGAGTAAACTCAAAATTCTCCACATAATTTTATCTTTTTTACCAACTATTTATTTATTTATTTATTTATTTATTTATTTTTGTGAGATGGAGTCTCATTCTATTGCCAGGCTGGAGTGCAGTGGCATGATCTCGGCTCACTGCAACTTCCACCTCCCGAGTTTAAGCGAGTCTCCTGCCTCAGCCTCTCTAGTAGCTAGGACTGCAGGCACATACCACCACGCCAAGCTAATTTTTGTATTTTTAGTAGAGACAAGGTTTTACCATGTTTGCCAGGATGGTCTTGATCTCTTGACCTCGTGATACACCCACCTCAGCCTCCCAAAGTGCTGGGATTATAGGTGTGAGCCATTGTGCCCAGCCTATTTACCAACTGTTAAAGAGCTCATGTATTGGGTGAGAGGCTCAGAAAGCATAAAACAGATTCCAAAATGACCATAACAATAACCACTTTTTCTAGAATATTAAGTGCTGCTGGAAGACAAACTGATATCCCAGCATGACAAGAATGAAGAACTACAGTAAGAATTCAAGTTATTTGAGTTTCACTTCAAAAGTGATAAACTCTAGGATTATAAAAAATGGCATACCTGATCTGGGATAAGATAATCTTCCCAAACTTCATCTGCCTGTAGGAAAAAAAATTAAACCACTAGGGAGAAAAAAATATTATCTAGGGTCTTTGGTATTATTCATGCATGTGAAATTAAAACAATTATCAGAATTAAGAGGAAATAAGGACCAAATGACAAAAATCAAGAACATTAATAAAACAGCAAATCCACAAGTGATCAAATGACTGGAATTTTCCAAAGGTGATTTAAATGGAACTAACAATTTTAATAAAATGGATAAGAAGTTAATTTCATGTGATAATTTGAATCCACAAAACAGGAAGCAAACACTTCATAGAAATGAAAAATATAGTGAATATAAGTTGGTGTTTAAGAGATAACAGAAGATTCCTAAATTTTAAGACTAAGAAATAGAAAATGTCAAGATAGAAATACAGAGAAATTACAGAAATAAAAATCAGAGAAAAACATGAAAGAGACATAGGAATATGGCATAAAAGTTTAAACTATGTGTCACTATAGTTCCAGAAGGAAATAAAGAGAAAAAGAAAAATTTATGTTTTAATAAATGCAAGCTGAAAAATTTCCAAAACTTATGAAATTAATCAAGCCAAAAATTAATATGAAAGCAAAGCAGTGTAAGTCCAAAGAAAAAGTAAAACTATACAAATAATATCAAAATATTGAAGACCAATGTTTTGTTAGGTTTTATTAACTTATTAATGTGTTAATTTATTCACGATTTTTTATGTGCTGGTTGTTGTTCTAACCCATGGCTATACAGTAGTGTGTTTTAAAACCTGAAAAAAAAGCGTTGCTTAATGGACTAATAAAGGGAGACAGACACATAATATCAAGAAGTAAAGTTAAGATGTTACATGGAGATACATTCTAAGGAACAGAATAATACAACAAAGATAGAAAGTAGCTGGGCCTGGTGACTCATGCCTGTAATCCCAGTACTCTGTGAGGTGTAGGCAGGAGGACTGCTTGAGCCCAGCAGTTGGAGATCAGCTTGGGCAACATAAGGTGACCCTGTCTCTACAAAAGTTTTCTAAAAATTAGCCAGATGGGATGGCATGTGCCTGTGGCCCCAGCAAATTGGGAGGCTGAGGCGGGAGGATTGCTTGAGTCCAGAAGACTTAAATTTTTTTTTTTAATTTTTAAAAATTGGACCTGCGTTTTTGTGCTCTGGGCCCCGAAAATTGAGGCTGGTGTGAGCACTAATCACATCACTGTACTGTAGCCTGGGTGACAAGAGTAACACTCTATTTCCAAAAAAAAAAAAAAAAGGTAGAAAGTGATAGGAAGATTGATGTTTCATAAGTTTTAGAGAAGACCTGATGAAGAAGCCATGTGAACATCTGGGGAAAATGTTTTTCATGTTAAGAAACAGACTGCAAAGAACATGAGATAGGAGAATGCTTGGTGTGTGGTCAAAGAACAGAGAAAAGGTCTAGGTGGCTGGGGCCATATAAGGAGGTGGAAAGGTCAGAATTATAAAAGGGTGCTAATTCATGAAGATCTCATTATATTAAGAATTTGTGGGGTGGGTCGTTTCCTTTATTTAGAATAAGATAGAAAACTATTGGACAGTTTTGAAGTGGGAAGTTACATGATCTGACAATGCTTTGATAAAATCATTCTGGTTATGCTGATGATAGGCTATAAGAAGTCTGGAACAGAAGCTGGAAGATCTTTTTAAAGATAAATTTTCTACTATCTCTTGACTTTCAGAGTATAATTATGCTGAGGTCAGCTGCCAATTAACAGTCATTACTTGAGATAATCTATCTCAATTTACTGACTTCTTTAAAAATCCGAATAGGTAACATAAAAAGGCAGAAAAGTGTGAGGTTTGGATAGAATATAGAGCAGTTAGAATTCATACACTGCTCTTAGGAAAGTAAATGGGTAAAACCTCTTTAGAAAATTGATTACTTGTACCTGTCAAAACAGAATATACTTATTCCCTCTGACCTAGCATTCCTTCTTATAAATATGAACAAAACAGAAATGTATGCATGTTTATCAAAAGACATGTACAAAATGTTCATAGCAACATAATTTTAATAGACCCAAACTGGAAACTATTCAAATGCCCATCAACAGAGAATGCATGAAATACATTTTGGTGTATTCATACAATGGGAACAAATGCACTAATGAGTATGAAGTATAACTACAAGTACAAACCTATATGAATCTCACCAAAATGATGTTTTGTTTGTTGGAACTGCCCCTTTTTTATTTTGACCCCTCTCTACTTCTTTTGTACAACAGGATATTCCAGACTTGTGCTTCCCTTGCCCCAGTCTTGGAATCACCCATTTTGGTAAGTAGCCTTGTTTTCTTTTACTTGAGCCTATATTTAGAAACCAACATCAAGAAAATAGCTGTGCTCTTTTTTCCTACAGTGTCATTGACATAGAAAATTGTAAGTGCTTACTGTTACTGGTCATGGGCAAACCAATACCTTAGGGCCTTCGCTTTTATTTATGTGCAACTCCATTCTTCAATGATAATAACTTTTAATTTCATCATTAAAACATATGTATTAATTTGCTTAATCCTCAAATATGCAAAATCTCAGAATTATTACACCAAATCCATGTAGAAAAAAACTTAAATAATTAAATTACAGTATTTTTGTATGCCTATTTTAGATAGTCAAGAAGGTAATTTCTTTAGGTTATTTTCTCCTTTATTCCCATTATTGTGGTTTATTAACATCTTTGTGTCAACTGAACTTTTAGCTCTAAAAATACCTCCTTTTGCCTTTAATGCTTGTGGGCTTAAATTGTAGTAGGTCTGATAAAATAATTGTTAACCCTTCTATTTTGTTTGTATTTGCCTCATATGTCTTTGTCCATCCCTTAATATTTTGCCTTTGTAAGGCACTTTTTTTAGGTTTGCCTCTTGAATACAACATACTCATGTAGTTAAGTCTCCGTTTACGAGCAATGAGCAAATTGAAAATATTTTTCTTTTAATAGGTGAACTAAGGCTGTTCACGTTTATTGACATGTCTGATATGTTTGGTCTTATTTCTGTCATAACACTTTACAATTACGTGTTTTATGTTATAATTTTATGTTACTTTTTCCATATAATAAGATCAAATTTTCTTTGATGTATTTTGGGAGGATGGAACTTTGTTCTAGTTATTACCTTTAGACTTATGGCCTTTTAATGCCTTTAGTTCCCAGTTGTCATGCTCATTTTTTACCACCTGGTTTGTCAGTTTTCAGTGTTTTCCTTTATCTCCCATTGTCTACACAACAATCAATGCATGCATTCAAATTTCTTCTTTATATTTTCTTTCTCCTTCCATTAAAAAATTATACTTTATCACAACATAAGGAACTTGTACATTAGTAGTCCACCCTCATCCTTACTTTTGTTTTAGCATTAAATTTAAATTGCATACATTAAAATGCTCACTATTAGTTCTCTTGCTGAATTTTCTCCAGGCATCTCTTGTTTAGATGGAGCATGTTCTAGTTTCTCTAAAAGGTCTCATTAGTAGAGCAATCCCTAAATTCATGTGTGCTTGAATTTTTCTATAACCTTTCTATTTAAGGAATGCTTAACTAGATATAAAATACTTGGTTCACGCTTTATTTTACTAATTTTTTGAAAATCCTACTACATTATGGGATTGCTTTGAATGTCTCTTTAAAAAAATTGAACATCAGTCTAATTATTTTTGCCTTGTAAATTATTTGATCATTTTAACTGAAGAGCTTCAGTATTTTTTAATCTCTATCTCCACATTTAATAGCTTTAATAGGATACTTATAGGTACTAATCATTCTAATTAATTTTCTCCTGTTTCCCTTTTCAATTTGTAGATTTAGGTCTTTACTCTTTTCAGGAAAATATTTAGGAACAGATCTTAAAATGTTAGTTATATTTCATTATTTTTCCATATTTGGTACCTCTTCTTTTTTTTTTTTTTTCCTTTCTCAGTTGCGGTGTGTTTCAAAGACTGCCACTTCACATAGGGAGAACTTTAAATTTCTTCTATGTAAATAATGCAGTTATCTTTCCAGGACACCTTTTTAAAATTTGTCACCATTATAGTTAATACACTCATAATGACATTAGTTTCAGAATAACTTTAAGGCCTATTGGTAGCTCTTCTCTCTTCCTAGCACTTTTCTTTCCTCTCTTTCTTTCTTTACTTCTACTCTTCTCTTTCTTATGGGGTACCCCTTTTGCTATAAAGACTTGAAGTAGGGCAGGAGCAAAAGGCATTGTGCACTAAGATTTGGTGACTTCTCTACTTTTTTCTCCCAAACTTTTATTTCAGTTATTTTTAAGTTTGGGCATTCTCTACTTTCAACTTAAGCTGAATGCATGGTTTCAGTGAATTTTTTTCTTTTATTCTTGTTCTATTTTGTTTTAGGAGAAAATACTGAAATATGCAGAACTATTCACAGGTTTCTGCCATTGTCTTATCTACCTGGAAGGTTTCTTAAAAATATGTATGCTGTGATACAAAAGCAAGTCTATGTATGATTTCATCTTGCTTCCTTCATATAGAAATGGAATCACACCATGTATGCTGTTGCATATTTATCACCCCTTTAAAATTTTATGTTTATTTTGGAAATCTCCCCACAAGAGTTTCGACATGTTATTTGCTGTGTATGCAAAGTACCTTATATGCTGCTATAACCTTTCACATCATACAAAATTAGACATAGAGTTATGAAGAAAAAATAAAATTAAGAACAGCCTACTTAATATCAGTGAAAATAAAAACCAGAATGCTGACAACAACAATTCCTAAGGAAAACTACAAGTACAGTTAAATACATACTAAATTATCAAATAATGAAGCACTATAATAAATATATCTTTTTACCTAAAATACTATAAAGCTACCTCCATAGATGGGAATGTAAAGAAGAGTTGGAGCTGTTGAGTTGTGGAAAGATTTGAAAAGACCACCCGATAACACCTCCAGAACAAAGACTGTGGCAAAGGGGAAGAATGTGGGGTGAATTTGCATCATATATGTACAACATTTGTTTGGTTTATTGCTCTCAGCTGACACTGTGCACTGTGTTGAACTACTGGTACTTGGCATAAAATATGAAAATTCTCAGAAAATTCTCATGTAAACCAAAATACATTCTGTGTTATAGTGACATCATTCCTCTATTTACCAGTCATGAATAACATTATTGGAATCTCATAAACAGACTGTATTTAATTATAAAGATATATATCACACACACATGCGTGCATGCATGTGCGCATGCATGCACACACACACACACACACACACACACACACACACACCCTTAAACCTAAATAGAATCTCAAAATACTCTCCTGTTTCAGCCATCCTCAACCTTACTTGCGCAAGTACTTGATGCCATAAACTTTTAAGGCTCTCGAGTATATTTTATTGAAATTGGTTGTTTCTTGCGTTTTATTTCTGTTTGTTGTTCTACTAATAATGTGCTTCCCATCTTAAATTTAATGGTTATTATCATCTCTCCCATTTTCTTTGGTTCTTGTGGGTTTATACTTTTTTCTTGAAACCTACTAGTGGCATTTTAATTCATACAAAACCTTGATTTTGATAATATAAACTCCTTAATTATTCACTGCATAATTATTCTTATTATTAGTAAAAGAATCAATCTTCCCTGTAAGGCTACTACTAGATTTTATTTTCCATTCAAACCAATTTAGAGCTATTAAAGTAGAACTTCCATTGTAATTTTTTGGTTAACATTGTGAGGCTTAGAGTGGAATGGTTTTGGCCTTTACTGTCAGTGTGACTTCTCAACAGATGGCTTGAATTTTCTGAGTTTCAGTTTTTACAAAATATGAATACCAGTGTTGTTGGGTAAATTAAATATGTTTGGAGATATAACAAGACTTCAAATATACCATATTTATAAATGCACTATATAAATGGTATATATGCACTCAATGTCTTAGTAAGAAGCTCTCCTGCTTCTTGTCTAACCTTATAGTATGTGCATGCAGGTGACTAGTCAGTTTACTAGGAAATAATACTAATGTGATAAATGGGATGGGTTATACCCTAGAATGCACCATTCCTAGAAAACATACTCATTTGTGGTTATTGCTGTGCATAGTTTGAGCCTTGGAAGAAAGGGGAGCTATGTCCAAAAATGCTCACCATCTTGCCTAGAGCAAATTATAACTGTCTTAGACGGTGATGAATCCATTCTAATATATAGTAAAAAAAACTGGGCATAAATAAAGCTGTGAATATTACATCACAGCTTTGTGGAGGAATTTTATAAACAAACCTCTGTTTTTCAGGGTAAACTATACAACCTAAAATTATTTTGTTAATATTAGCCAATCACTAACATAAAATCATATTTAGAAAATTGAGTACAACTCTGAGAGGTAAAGATTTCTTGAGTCAGCTATACTGTTTGTCTCTGCACAGGTTTGTTTTATCTTGAGAATAATACAGAGCTATTGATTTTGTTTGGTGAGCTCACAGTCCAAGGTTTTCTCTTATCCTAATGCTTTCAATATGACTTATTAACACAGAAATAGAGATCACAGAGTACTGCCTGATTTAGTTTTTAGAAGATTTCAATGAGATACTGAGTAGTGTTAGTTTTTTAAAAAATTATTATTATACTTTAAGTTCTAGGGTACATGTGCACAATGTGCAGGTTTGATATATATGTATATATGTGCCATGTTGGTGTGCTCCACCCGTTAACTCATCATTTACATTAGGTATATCTCCTAATGCTATCCCTCCCTCCTCCCCCCACCCCATGACAGGCCCTGGTGTGTGATGTTCCCCACTCTGTGTCCAAGTGTCCTCATTATTCAATTCCCACCTATGAGTGAGAACATGCAGTGTTTGGTTTTCTGTCCTTGCAATAGTTTGCTCAGAATGATGGTTTCCAGCTTCATCCATGTCCCTACAAAGGACATGAACTCATTCTTTTTTATGGCTGCATAGTATTACATGGTGTATATGTGCCACATTTTCTTAAACCAGTGTATTATTGATGGACATTTGGGTTGGTTCCAAGTCTTTGCTATTGTGAATAGTGCTGCAATAAACATACGTGTGCATGTGTCTTTATAGCAGCATGATTTATAATCCTTTGGGTATATGCCCAGTAATGGGATGGCTGGGTCAAGTGATATTACTAGTTCTAGATCCTTGAGGAATCGCCACACTGTCTTCCACAATGGTTAAACTAGTTTACAGTCACACCAACAGTGTAAAAGCGTTCCTATTTCTCCACATCCTCTCCAGCACCTGTTGTTTCCTGACTTTTTAATGATCGCCATTCTAACTGGTGTGAGATGGTATCTCATTGTGGTTTGATTGGCATTTCTCTGATGGCCAGTGATGATGAACATTTTTTCATGTGTCTGTTGGTTGCATAAATGTCTTCTTTTGAGAAGTGTCTGTTCATATTCTTTGCCCACTATTTGATGGGGTTGTTTGATTTTTTCTTGTAAATTTGTTTAAGTTCTTTGTAGACTCTGGATATTAGCCCTTTGTCAGATGAGAAGATTGTAAAAATTTTCTCCCATTCTATAGGTTGCCTGTTCACTGTGATGGTAGTTTCTTTTGCTATGTAGAAACTCTTTAATTTAATTAGATCCCATTTGTCAATTTTGGCTTTTGTTGCCATTGCTTTTGGTGTTTTAGTCATGAAGTCCTTGCCCATGCCTATGGCCTGAATGGATTTGCCTAGGTTTTCTTCTAGGGTTTTTATGGTTTTAGGTCTAACATTTAAGTCTTTAATCCATCTTGAATTAATTTTTCTATAAGGTGTGTGGAAGGGATCCAGTTTCAGCTTTCTACATATGGCCAGCCAGTATTCCCAGCACCATTTATTAAATAGAGAATCCTTACTCTGTTACTTGTTTTTGTCAGGTTTTTCGAAGATCAGATGGTTGTAGGTGTATGGTATTATTTCCAAGGGCTCTATTCTGTTCCACTGGTCTATATCTCTGTTTTGGTACCAGTACCATGCTGTTTTGGTACCAGTACCATGCTGTTTTGGCTACTGTAGCCTTGTAGTACAGTTTGAAGTCAGGTAGTGTGATACCTCCAGCTTTGTTCTTTTGGCTTAGGATTGTCTTGGCAATGCAGGCTCTTTTTTGGTTCCATATGAACTTTAAAGCAGTTTTCTCCAATTCTGTGAAGAAAGTCATTGGTAGCTTGATGGGGATGGCATTGAATCTATAAATTACCTTGGGCAGTATGGCCATTTTCATGATATTGATTCTTCCTATCCATGAGCATGGAATGTTCTTCCATTTGTTTGTGTCCTCTTTTATTTCGTTGAGCAGTGGTTTGTAGTTCTCCTTGAAGAGGTCCTTCACATCCCTTGTAAGTTGGATTCCTAGGTATTTTATTCTCTTTGAAGCAATTGTGAATGGGAGTTCACTCATGATTTGGCTCTCTGTTTGTCTGTTATTAGTGTATAGGAATGCTTGTGATTTTTGCACATTGATTTTGTATCCTGAGACTTTGCTGAAGTTGCTTATCAGCTTAAGGAGATTTTGGACTGAGACGATGGGGATTTTTAAATATACATTCATGTCATCTGCAAACAGGGACAATTTGGCTTCCTCTTTTCCTAATTGAATACCCTTTATTTCTTTCTCCTGCCTGATTGCCCTAGCCGGAACATCCACCACTATGTTGAATAGTAGTGGTGAGAGAGGGCATCCTGTTTTGTGCCGGTTTTCAAAGGGAATGCTTCCAGTTTTTGCCCATTCAGTATGATATTGGCTATGGGTTTGTCATAAATAGTTCTTATTATTTGAGATATGTCCCATCAATACCTAGTTTATTGAGAGTTTTTATCATGAAGGGCTGTTGAATTTTGTCAAAGGCCTTTTCTGCATCTATTGAGATAATCATATGGTTTTTTTCTTTTGTTCTGTTTATATGATGGATTACATATATTGATTTGCATATGTTGAACCAGGCTTGCATCCCAGGGATGATGCCAACTTGATCATGGTGGATAAACTTCTTAATGTGCTGCTGGATTCGGTTTGCTAGTATTTTATTGATGATTTTGCATCAATGTTCATCAAGGATATTGGTCTAAAATTCTCTTTTTTTTGTTGTGTCTCTGCCAGGCTTTGGTATCAGGGTGATGTTGGCCTCATAAAATGAATTAGGGACGGAGGATTCCCTCTTTTTCTATTGATTGGAATACTTTCAGAAGAAATGGTACCAGCTCCTTTTTGTACCTCTGGTAGAATTTGGCTGTGAATCCATCTGATTCTGGACTTTTTTTGGTTGGTAGGCTATTAATAATTGCCTGAATTTCAGAACCTGTTATTGGTCTATTCAGGGATTCAAGTTCTTCGTGGTTTAGTCTTGGGAGGGTATATGTGTCCAGACATTTATCCATTTCTTCTAGATTTTCTAGTTTATTTCCGTAGAGGTGCTTATATTATTCTCTGATGGTAGTTTGTATTTCTATGGGATAGGTGGTGATCTCCCCTTTATCATTTTTATTGCATCTATTTGATTCTTCTCTCTTTTCTTCTTTATTAGTTTTGCTAGTGGTCTATCAATTTTGTTGATCTTTTAAAAAACCCAGCTCCTGGATTCATTGATTTTTTGAAGGGTTTTTTGTGTCTCTATCTCCTTCAGTTCTGCTCTAATCTTAGTTATTTCTTGCCTTCTGCTAGCTTTTGAATGTGTTTGCTCTTGCTTCTCTAGTTCTTTTAATTGTGATGTTAGGGTGTCAATTTTAGATCTTTCCTGCTTTCTCTTGTGGACATTTAGTACTATAAATTTCCCTCTACACACTGCTTTAAATGTGTCCCGGAGATTGTGGTATGTTGTATCTTTTTTCTCATTGGTTTCAACGAACATCTCTATTTCTGCCTTCATTTCGTTCTTTACCCAGTTGTCATTCAGGAGCAGGTTGTACAGTTTCCATGTAGTTGAGTGGTTTTGAGTGAGCTTCTTAATCCTGAGTTCTAGTTTGATTGCACTGTGGTCTGAGAGACAGTTTGTTAAAATTTCTGTTCTTTTACATTTGCTCAGGAGTGCTTTACTTCCTACTATGTGGTCAATTCTGTAATAAGTGTGATGTGGTGCTGAGAAGAATGTATATTCTGTTGATTTGGGGTGGAGAGTTCTGTAGATGTCTATTAGGTCTGCTGGGTTCAGAGCTGAGTTCAATTCCTGGATGTCCTTGTTAACTTTCTGTCTCATTGATCTGTCTAATGTTGACAGTGGAAAGTCTCCCATTATTATTGTGTGGGAGTCTAAGTCTCTTTGTAGATCTCTAAGAACTTGCTTTATGAATCTGGGTGCTCCTGGATTGGAGGCATATATATATATATTTAGGGTAGTTAGCTGTTCTTGTTGAATTGATCCCTTTACCATTATGTAATGTCCTTCTTTGTCTCTTTTGATCTTTGTTGGTTTAAAGTCTGATTTATCAGAGACTAGGATTGGAACCCCTGGGTTTTTTTGTTTTGTTTTGTTTTCCATTTGCTTGGTAGATCTTCCTCCATCCTTTTATGTTGAGCCTATGTGTGTCTCAGCACCGGAGATGGGTCTCCTGAATACAGCACACTGATGAGTCATGACTCTTTATCCAATTTGCCAGTCTGTGTCTTTTAATTCGAGGGTTTAGCCCATTTACATTTAAGGTTAATATTGTTATGTGTGAATTTGATCCTGTCATTATGATGTTAGCTTGTTATTTTGCTCATTAGTTGATGCAGTTTCTTCCTGGCATTGATGTTCTTTACGATTTGGCAAGTTTTTGCAGTGGCTGGTACCAGTTGTTCCTTTCCATGGTTAGTGCTTCCTTCAGGAGCTCTCGTGAGGCAGGCCTGGTGTTGACAAAATCTCTCAGCATTTTTTTAAAAGATTTTATTTCTCCTTCACTTATGAAGCTTAGATTGGCTGGATATGAAATTCTGGGTTGAAAATTGTTTTCTTTAACAATGTTGAATTTTGGCCCCCACTCTCTTCTGGCTTGTAGAGTTTCTGCCGAGAGATCTGCTGTTAGTCTGATGGGCTTCCCTTTGTGGGTAACCCGACCTTTCTCTCTGGCTACCTTAACATTTTTTCCTTCATTTCAACTTTGGTGAATCTGACAATTATGTGTCTTGGAGTTGCTCTTCTTGAGGAGTAACTTTGTGGTGTTCTCTGTGTTTCCTGAATTTGAATGTTGGCTTGCTTTGCTAGGTTGGGGAAGTTCTCCTGGATAATATCCTGTAGAGTGTTTTCCAACTTGGTTCCATTCTCCCCGTCACTTTGATGTACACCAATCAAATGTAGATTTGGTCTTTTCACATAGTCCCATATTTCTTGGAGGCTTTGTTCATTTCTTTTTACTCTTTTTTCTCTAAACTTCTCTTCTCGCTTCATTTCATTCATTTGATCTTCAATCACTGATACCCTTTCTTCCACTTGATCAAATTGGCTACTGAAGATTGTGCATGCATCCTTTAGTTCTCGTGCCATGATTTTCAGCTCCATCCAGTCATTTAAGGACGTCTCTACACTGTTTATTTTAGTTAGCCATTCATCTAATCTTTTTTCAAGGTTTTTAGCTTCTTTGCGATGAGTTCGAACTTCGTCCTTTAGCTCAGAGAAGTTTGTTATTACTGATCGTCTGAAGCCTTTTTCTCTCAACTTATCAAATTCATTCTCCATCCAGCTTTGTTTCTTTGCTGGGAAGGAGCTGCGTTCCTTTGGAGGAGAAGATGTGTGCTGATTTTTAGAATTTTCAGCTTTTCTGCTCTGGTTTCTCCCCACCTTTGTGGTTTTATCTATCTTTGGTCTTTGATGATGGTGATGTACAGATCGGGTTTTGGTGTGGATGTCCTTTCTGTTTGTTAGTTTTCCTTCTAACAGTCAGGACCCTCAGCTGCAGGTCTGTTGGAGTTTGCTGGAGTTCCACTCCAGACCCTGTTTGCCTGGGTATCACCAGCAGAGGCTGCAGAACCACAAATATTGCAAAAAGGCAAATGTTTCTGCCTGATCCTTCCTCTGGAAGCTTTGTCTCAGAGGGGCACCCGGCTGTATGAGGTGTCAGTCGGCCCCTACTGGGAGGTGTCTCCAAGTTATGCTACTTGGGGGTCAGTGACCCACTTGAGGAGGCAGTCTGTCCGTTCTCAGATTTCAGACTCCATGCTGGGAGAAGCACTATTCTCTTCAAAGCTGTCAGACAGGGACGTTTAAGTCTGCAGAAGTTTCTGTTGCCTTTTGTTTAGCTATGACCTGCCCCCAGAGGTGGAGTCTACAGAGGCAGGCATGCCTCCTTGAGCTGTGGTGGGCTCCACCCAGTTTGAGCTTCCTGGCCACTTTGTTTACCTACTCAAGCCTCAGCAATGGCGGATGCCCCTCCCCCAGCCACGCTGCCACCTCACAGTTTGATCTCAGGCTGCTGTGCTAGCAGTGAGCAAGGCTCCGTGGGTGTGGGACCCTCTGAGCCAGGCGTGGGATATAATCTCCTGGTGTGCCATTTGCTAAGGGCATTGGTAGTGTCCCGATTTTCCAGGTACCCTCTGTCATGGGTTCCCTTTGCTAGGAAAGGGAATTCCCTGACCCCTTGAGCTTCCCAGGTGAGGCGATGCCCTGCCCTGCTCCATGGGCTGCACCCACTGTCTGACAAGCCCCATTGAGATGAACCCGATACCTCAGTTGGACATGCAGAAATCACCCGGATACTGACTAGTATTACTAAGAAAAATGAAAATTTCCTACAAAATTAATGGTGGGAAAACTTGAAACCTTAAGATCTGGTCTTAAATTACTTTCACGTCATTATGCACCTGGTCCAAAGGTGCTTTTTTTGTGTGTATTGATTTTTCATATAAACTATTTGTCTTGATGCTTATTCTTTCTACAAAAATTTTATATAAGTGACAAGACTACTAATTCATGAGGTTAAGCATCAACTATCAAAACCTGTTTTATATATTCACAAACTCTTTTTCATGTGGGCTGGATTACCTCATCACATTTTAATGTCTTCATAGGACCACAGCATACATGCTCAATGATGTAACTGTATTGATGTGAGGAAAATTTTCTAAAATTAAAAGTGTTTTATTAACACCTGATATTTTAGATAGAAAAAAATATACATGCTTTAATAAAATTTAGTCAAATTGTATTTTTCCTAGTATAATATACAAATATTTCATTGATATTTATGTAATGTATCTCTGCAGAAATATGAAAGATGCAAGTATAGGTGTATAGAAATAATACATTTTATATCTTGTAAAGAGATCAAGATCTATTTGTGATATAATTCAAATAAAGATCAGCCATTTGTATTCATTTTTTTACTCTTTCAACCTTTCGACATATGTTTTCTAAGTGGCCCCTATATTCCAACCCTATATTTTAGGCCCTATAGATAAAACAGAGAGAAAAAAGACACTTCCAACAAACATGGAACTTGAATTTTTTAGGGGTATTGGAACAGAGAGAATACATTATACACACACACACACACACACACACACACACGCACATTTATATTATAATTTAGAAAACTGGAATAGATAAGAAATGTAAAACTAAAAGGTGACTAAAAACAAAATGTTCCTTAAAAAGAATAACTACAAATAAATATTGAAAATCTTAAGTATAATTTCTGTGTATGAACTGATAGAGTAATTCATGTATGAGTACCTTCTTTTAAAGTGGTTTTCGTCATTTTTGAATAATAATCTAACCGTTAATTAAAGTTAACTTATAGTATTCTGATGTAAAGAAACACAACATTTTTAATTGATAAACACATAAAACAATCAGATCGCCTGTTGAATATCACTGTCCTTTATTTTGTATATTTAGGTAGAATAATTTTTTTTATTTTTAGAAAGTCAGTGCATATATCTACATGTGTGTATACATGCATCCACAAGTAGGCTTATATGCATATATGCATTATGTAGAAAATAAGGAACAAACATATCCTAATTTATTCATCTTGTTTCTTAAAACAAAGCTTGGGTTTTAATTATGTTTCTTGATATTCTCATTACTATAACGACATTCTGTCACCATGACCTTGGAATGTCTTTCAGATTCCTAATGTTTGTTATCAAATGTATCTATCCATTCAACCATGTATCAAGAACCTGCTATTTAAAACTAGATTTTAGAAAAGCGTTAAACCATGCTAATTTTCATGAAATACATTTATGTTACCATGTTGGGGAGCTGAGGTAAACCAAGTAAATCAATTCTATTTTAAAAAGGGTTTTGGAAGACCCAATAATTTAAGTCACATAAAGAATATTTTTAATGCTGAAATTTCAGATATGTGACATGTCAATAAACAAGTATTTATAAAGACAAGTCATTTCATTTTTTACCTCCTGAAAGGGTTAACTACGATAACCATATATCATGTTTAACACCAGATATCTTTGTATGTTTTCTATTAAAACATGCATCACACACACACACACACACACACACACACACGTGTACACATGTATTGGCAATAATACTGCATGAAATAAGTTTTAAGTTTTTCTAACCTGAGATTTTCATGCTTACTTTTAGAGGAACTGAGATACTACTTCAGAGAGAGATTTGTTTTTAAAAACTGGAAACTTGAGTATTGTTACATGCCGATAATTATTTCAAAGTAACATAACTTTTTAAAAGTAAATGTCGAGATCATTTTGCCCCAGTAGACGAAAAAAGTAGGTCTTAAGCATATGGTAATTACTTCAACTGTTTAAATAATATTGGGGTTAAATATATTCAATTATTACATTACTTATGAGCAGGTCAGAATTTGTAGACAATGATAATTAAATTACAAGCATCGCTGTAAATCTAGAGTGGTATATTTCTATAGAAATGTTTCTACCAAAATAAATAATGCAAAGATAGGTAGAAAGTATATGAGAAGGTCTTGGATAATAAAATATGAAAAAACTAAAGAAAGGTCATTTACTTGGTACAGACATTATTTCATTTATTTAGAGAAAATACTTCTTGGCCTGCTATAATTTCTTATGTAGAAATTATATATGAAGTTTGCACATGTACTCAGATAGCACATTTATTCAGAAAATAGCTCGAAGAGTATTCTTTGCTAACAAAGGACTAATACAGACTACTATATACTGTAATTAGATTTAAATTTGAAATACAAGTACACTAACTCTCTATGACCTGCCTGAATTACCTTAGAGGACTTATTTTATATCTTTATGATTTATAGACTTTCCCTTAATGGAAGGTAAAATCCTTCTTACCCAACCCAGATATAAATAGTGCCCAGATATAAAAAATAGTTTATATGTTTACTGTAATGTCCTTATCTATAAAAGAAATATACACATTACCCTGTGTATTCTAAAATGTGTATTAATTAAACTTATTACTTTTCCAAATTGCACTTTTCATTCTGTTTTATTTTAGAGATATATACCAGCTTATACATGGGCATGTTTTTGATTAATGTTCTGTGACATAAATTAATTAGGGTTCATTTAGTCGTACATGATTTAACAGTTCAATTTCTAGAGAGGCTACATATAAAACATTCTGGTACTTCATGAAAATCATTACATTACCTCTCAAGGTGATGTACTGTGAGAAAAGAGCTGAAATGATTTCTACTTCATTTTACTGTCTTCTCTGATTCACACTTAAATAGGAAACCCTTTTTACTACCATCAGTATGGCTGTTTTTATTTAAGGATAGTTAAGATATAAATCTTATGAGCATAAATTGTAGATAGTTAAATCATGGATTTAATATCTCTTCTGGCTTCACATTGCAATGCATTCTTTGGTGTACTTGTCAGATGCACAGTGCATTTGATCATAATACTATAATTCAGATCAGATTCAATCAGTCACTGTGTTATCAGATGCTTTAGGTGCTATGTGGATCTAGAGCTAAAGAAAATCTTTTTACAATAAAGAATATTTAGGGTAACATATTTTATGATCACTACAAAATTATTACACTAGGAAAACATTAAAATAGGCCGGTATCTGATGATACAAAATGCGTAAGCCATTTCCTATGGAAAATCTTATAAAGTTCCTTTCTTGGAAGAAATACTCATTATGTAAAACTAAATTAAATTTTCATGTCTTTCAAATAAAGCATTACATCATATTCTTAAACAATTATTTGAGGTATGCAAAGTAAAAATCTTATATAAGAAAATGAATTTATTATATAATACCAGGTGTTCTAAATAGAAAGTAATGTATTTATAAAGAAAATAACCAGTTTAATACGTAATTAATAGTTGTTGCAACACTCTCCTGTTTGTGCTTTTCTTTTGATAAAACTTAGCTGTGATCTTAAGAAAACACCAGAGGTCTTTTTCAAGCATGTGTAAGATTAGAGGAAGGTGGATAAGCTCATTCAATGGTCTTTGTTTGGCTCTTCAAATTTTGTGGCCTTGCCTTTGCCATGGTTCCAAGATAAACATCTCCCTTCTCAAACCCAGGCTGGGCTTTGAGAATTTCTGAAAAAACGTGCTTACAGAAAAAGACTGAAGAATAACTGAAACCACATTAAATATGTATTTTGGTGTATACAAGATATCTCATTTTAAATACATACACATATGTAATTAAAAAATCTGGGCAGATATATATATGTATATATAAAATTGACATTGGTTATCACTGCAATGTGACTATAGAAGACTTTTATTCTTTGTGTTTTCATTTATTTCTAACAGTTTTTTAACCAATGAATATGTATTGATTTATTTACTCATTCAGAAGTGTTAAGGAAAAAAAAGAAGAAAATGTTTAGGGAACATCTACTATACAAAAGTTACTGTTTTAGGTTCTGAATAGTAGACAAAATAATGTCTTTACCATAGAGCTTATGAATTTTAGAATTACAAGAAGCAATAACTATATTTGGAAATAAAGTGTTTGATATGATTATAATTTTTTAAAAAGGTGTGGCTGAAAAGAGATACAATAATTAGGGGTGATGAGAACAAGAATAATTCTTATTTTCTTTTTTTGTATTTTTACAATTTTTTCTAGAATAAAGTACGGTTTTATTACAAATAATAAAAATTTTATTTATTTTTAATTTATTAAAAATAAATAAAATTTTTTAAGCTTTATATGCAATTGTTTCAACTTATTAACTTATTATTTATTTTCTTTCTATTGCAATTATTTTATCTTTTACCTTTAAGAAAATTTTTATCTTGAAAGTTAATATTTGCTTAATTTTCTCCATGTTAATCATTTTGTTTTCTCACTTTCTTTGTTTCCAATGGTCAGTGTATATATGATTTAATTTTTTATAGCTAAGATGCTGCTTCCAACTTTCTCCAATAAAGAGTTTAATACAGTTTTTTATTTCTAAATAATTTTCATTCTTCGTTATCATAATGAACTATCTTTTATATTCTATTTTTTTCTTTTTGTCTCTCTTTTCTCCTCATAATCCATAATATTCAAGTAGAAAATTAATTTATTATATAAAGTTTTATATATATAATATATATAAAGTTTTATATATTATATATTATATATATGTTTTATATATAATATATAATGTATATTATATATAAAGTTGTATATGTATAATATATATAAAGTTTCATATATAATATATTATATAAAGTTTTATATATAATATAATATATATAAAGTTTTATATATAATATAATATATATAAAGTTTTATATATATAATATTATATATATATAAAGTTTTTATTACAAAACTTTAATCCACTTTCTAAGTTATCTTCTGATTATTATAGCAAATTCCTTTTGCAATATATGGCCTGGCTCCCCCAAGATATTTAATTTAGTTGATTTATAGTTTCCTTGTTTTCGTACATACATAGTATATAATAAGTGTAGCTAGATTAATACGTATTTGACAAAGTATACGGATTTTCCATGAAATGACCTCCAATGTGTAAATTCCATCATATTTCTTCCTATTTGCCCTTCTAAAGAGGAGTATGTGTTTACGTAAACTAGCCCACTTCTTGTTAACTGTATTCTTATCAGTTTCTATTCATTTTGGAATACATTTTGTCTGTTTCTCTGAAAAAGTATAAGCCTATAATCTTCAATATACCTGCTATACAGACTTTTCTTTTTTCTCTCAAATTTCTATCACTTTACCCAAGAAAACTATAAATATCAGGACAAAATAAGTTGTTCCCCACAGTGACTGCTGTAGCAGAAGTATTGATAAATTGATCTTCACTGTAGTTTCAATAGTTGCTTTTTTCTCATTTCCATAATTTCACAAATATTTTAATTTACAGAAGAGAAAGGCTAACTTAACACCTGATTTCTAAATGCCATATTGAAATAGTACTAGCCCGGTGAGAAATCAGTAGAAAATACCACTTGAAACAAATAATGAGTAAACACAAATATTACTGAAAACCATAGTTACTTTCAGCCATTACAAAACTGAGGTCAGAATTTAAACCTAATGAACTAAAATCTAAAAATGTGACAAGCTTCTGCTAAATAAGTTCCGTGGTGGATTTAGTCTTTGAAAGAATAGTGGGAGGAGAAAGAAGCTATGTTAGGTGCCTGATATTGTTTGGCTCTCTGTCCCCACCCAAATCTTGTGTTGAATTGTAATCCCTAATGTCAGGGAAGGGACTTGGTGGGAGATGATTGGATATTGGGGGCAGATTTATCCCTTACTCTTCTCATGACTGAGCTGACTGAGTTCTCATGAAATCTGGTTGTTTAAAAGTGTATAACACTTCCCCTTTCACTCTCCTGATGCCGTGTGAAGATGGGCTTGCTTCCCCTTCACCCTTCTGCCATGATTGTAAGTCTCCTGAGGCTGCCCAGCCATGCCTCCTGTATGGCATGTGGAACTATGAGTTAATTATACATCTTTCTTATCTTTATTAATTTCTCAGTCTCAGGAAGTTCTTAATAGCAGTGTGAGAATGGACAAATACAATGCTTGTAAGAAAAAAAACAGCTGCAATTTTAATGAAGGGAATGATTATCTGTTGTAGGAATTGGAACAGGAGAAATTAGAGAAATTTGCTACCAGTGAGGCAGCATAGGGTCTGATGAAATCTGAGATAGTATGTGAAGGAACAAAGATAAAGCTAATAGGCAATCTGAGCCTTATACGGAGCATCAGACAGTGGCCTTTTACCCCTGAGGCCTATACTAATTACCTGACTATGGAAAGAACTGAATTTTTATGGAAAATGCTATTATTTACATCACTTTTGTTTTCTTTTGCACACAATATCAGACATTCAGTGAAGCTTTATAAAATGCAAGACCATATTATGATCGTTAAGAGAAAAAGTAGTCAATACTATCAGATCTAGAAATGATGAGCAGTCAAAATTATCAGAAAGTGATTTTAAAGTAACTATCATAAATATCTTAAAGAATCTAGAAACGAAGGTGAGTAACAAGTAAGAACAAATGATGCTTTTCAGCAGATATGATCATTTTCAAAATGCTGAATGGAAGTGACAGAATAAAAAAGATCACACATTAGACGTGAAGATTTATTCAGAAACACCAGAGGAAGAATCAATAAATGAAGGCATTTCAGGAAAAATCTGAAATAAATTACTCCCAGCAGACCTGGCAAATTAAAAAGTGTTGAAAGGTTTTCTTTAGACTGAAGAGAAGAGTTAACATATAGAACACTGATTCTGAGGAAAGTAATGGAAAATGCATGAAACATAAATATGTAGCAAAGATAACAATTCTTTATTTAAGAAAACCTAGTTATAAATTAGTAATGGGAGAGTCTTTGGTATGACTATTTTAGTAAATGATAAAAGAGTTAGGCCAAAAAATCAGTGAGATATGTATGGAAGATTTGAAGAACACTACTAACCAATTTGATCTAATTGATATTTATAAAATACCACATGTATTGGTTGTAGAATACACTTCCTTCTCAAATGTAAATGAAACATTCAGTGACGTAAACCATATACTAGGACATAAAATAAATCAAAAGTTTTGTTATAGTAGATACTGAATAGAGTATGTTTTTGAAGAACAGCAACATTAAATTATTAATAACTGTGATATATCTAGAAAATATATACATACATTTCTAAGTACATAATTAGGACTTTGTGTACTAATTATACATATCTAAATAGATTATGGCTTAAGGAAAAACATCTTAAAACAATTAAGAAAATATTTGGAATTGAATGATGAAAACACAACTTATTGAAATTTATGTCATGAGTTAATTGGTGCTTAGTTTTATAGCATTAAATGCAAAAAGAGTAAAGGAAAAAGATGTAAATTCAGTGATATAAATTTTCACATTCTAAAGCTACATGACATGACAAACCTGGGCAACACAGTGAAACACTGTCTCTACAAAAAAAATTAAAAATTAGCGGGGCATAGTGGTGTGTGCCTGTGTTCCTAGTCACCTCGGAGGCTGGGGCAACTGGATCACTTGAGCCCAGGAATTTCAGGCTGCAGTGAGCTATGATCACATGACTGCACTTAAGTCTGGGTAACATAGCAAGTCTCCCTCTCTCCCTCTCTCTCTCTCTTTCTCTGTTCCTCTCTTCCTCTTCCTCTTCCTCTTCCTCTTCTTCTTCTTGTTCTTCTTCTTCTTCTTCTTCTTCTTCTTCTTCTTCTTCTTCTTCTTCTTCTTCTTCCTCTTCTTCTTCTTCTCTCTCTCTGTCTCTCTCTCACACACACACACAGGCTACATGAAGAAAAACAAGTTAAAATCAGAGCAAGATAAACTTGTATTAACATGAAAAAAATCATTCTATATAAATGAGTTAATTTATTCCCTTAATAAAAAGGAGGAACATTATATGACAACTGCAAAAGATGCAGGAAGACATTTGAGAAAATTCGCCAACCATTCATGATAAAATCTCTTAATAAAGTAGGAATAGTGATATATTTTTATCCTTAAAAATTAAATATAAAACACGAGAAAACCAAAAGACCCTGCAGTTGCAGCTAGCATTATGCCTAATAGTGAAACAGAGACCACTTTCCCCCAAAGATAAGGAAGAAGACAAGGTGTTCCAGTCTTACCAGAGTAATTCAATATTTTATTGAAGGCCTGGTTAGCACAAGAAGGCAAAAAAAAAAAAAAAAAAAAAAAAAAGAAGAAGAAAGAAAAAGGGTATATGGAATAGAAAGAAGGAAAGAAAAATACTTTTATTTTTTAAATTCCTAATTATGTACTTAGAAATTTTAAGAAATATATAAAAGAAGAAAACCCACAAACACCCCAAAACACAACTAACACTAATAAATGAATTCAGTAATAGTGTAGGTGCACAATCAAAATATAAAATTTAATTGTATTTTTGCATAGTATATAAATAATTAGAAACTAAAATATAACAAAATCATATATAAAACAAAATATATGTACATATAAATGTATAAATATATGTACTTAAACAAATATGTATATATATATATGGTTGCATTCAACAAATATTCAATAATTCTACACTGAATTATAAAACTTTAATAAATTAGAGTATCTAAAGAAATGAAATTTAAAAGTATTGGTTTTGAAAACTCATTTAGGATGTGTATTTCTCCAAATTAACTTAGAAAATATGGTTTCTGTCACAATTATTCCCCTAAACCATTGTAGCACAAAACCAGCCATTATCTGGCCCCAAACCAGATAATATGTAATAAATGGGCATAGTTCTGTTTCAATAAAACTTTATTAACACTGAGATCAAGTTTGATCTTTAGACAGTTGTTGCCAACACTTCACCTATAGAGTGAAGACTCTTTCAGCAGACCTTTTAATAGATTTTGACAACGTGGTGCTAAAATATCTGAAAACCCAAATGACCTAAAAGGAACAAAGTGATCTTGAAAATAAGAACAAAGTTGATCTAACAGAACCTTACTTATATACTTATTGTTTAGATACAGTAATAAAAGCACTGTTGTTTAAGAGAAAAAACAGACAAATAGATCATTAACACCCAACAGAGGGTCAAGACCCGTATCTACACACACAAAAAAAACAGTTAAAATTGAATAAACTTGCCACAGTGATTCAGTAAAAATAGAATAATCCCTCAGTAAGTGATACTGGTGCAGTTACGTATCTGTCTTGAGTAAAAACAATTAAAACAAAAAAAATAAATTTGACCCCTACCTTACACTATACATGAATATTAATTTGAAATGAATAATTGTGCTAAATATAAAACCGAAACTAAAAAGCTTCTGTAATAAAATATTGGACATATATATGTATATTTGGGATAAATAAAGATTCCACAGAAATGATAACAGAAAAAAATTCAGAAGATCAGCAATTATACTTTACCAAAATTAAGTACTTCTGCAAAACAAAATCCACCATTAAGTAAATAAATATGCATGTCACAGGGAGAAAACCTTTGCAACACATATGTCTAAAAAAGCACTTGATCATGTCCAGTTTCCTACCTTGGAACACACATTCAGGTGCATCTGCCCTAGAGGGTCATTCTAAGGGTATGCTTAAATTATTGCTATCAGGATAGTCTTTCCTTATCTATGAGGAACATCTGAGCTACTCTCCCACCATCCCATCCCATCCCATCCAGCAGTCTTGTTCCTTCCCTTCCTGTTCCCTGGAACACAGGCTGTATAGGGGATTGAGGTGCTGAGTTTCAGGTTAAATGAAGGTTACCAGGTGGAGGTCGTTAGGGCAGGTGTTAAGTGAAATGCCATATAAAGTGCATGATGTCTGCAGGCAGCTGTGGTTTTCCCGACCAGCTTGCTGCCACTGAGCCGGTGGTTACCTTGTCCATCTAGCTGCCACTAGACCATTTCTGTCTGTACATAAGGTGGTTCTCCTGTCCAGCCAACCACCACTGGACTCTCTCCCCTGTATTAAGCCCTTAATAAAACTCCATGTCTCGTTAAAAAAAAAAAAAAGCACTTGATTCCAGGATATATAATGGCCTCTTCCAACTCAATAATAAAAATAAATAACCTAATATATCATGAGCAAAGCATTGAACAGACACTTCACAAGCAAATAAGAAAATTTGCTCAACATTATAAGTCATCGAAGAAATGCAAATTAAAATCACAAGTATTATCCCTACACAGACACCATAATATTAGGCTGATAAAATGAGAAAATGGACACCATCAAATAATGGAGAGGATGTCAAGAAATTAGATGTCTCATAGATAGTATTTGGGTGTGTAAAGCATGCAACCACTGTTAAAAACTGTTAGCCAGTGTGTTTTATTTTATTTTATTTTATTTTACTTTTAGTTGCAGGATACATGTGCAAAATGTGCAGGTTTGTTACATAAGCATACGTGTGCCATGGTGGTTTGTTGCTCCTATTGACTAGTCCTATAAATTCCCTCTGCTCGCCTCCCACCTGGCAACAGGCCCTGGGTTGTGTTGTTCCACTGCCTGTGTCCATGTGTTCTCATTGTTCGACTCCCACTTATGAGTGAGAACATGTGGTGTTTGATTTTATGTTTCTATGTTAGTTTGCTGATGATGATGGCTTCCAGCTTCATCCATGTCCCTGCAAAGGACATAATCTCATTTCTTTTTATGGCTGCATAATATTCCCTGGTGTATATGTACCACATTTTCTTTATCCAGTCTATCACTGATGGACATTTGGGTTGGTTCCATTACTTTGCTATTGTAAATAGTGCTCCAATAAACATATGTGTGCTTGTGTCTTTGTAGTAGAATGATTTATATTCCTTTGGGTATATACTCAGTAATGAGATTGCTGTGTTAAACGGTATTTCTGGTTCTAGATCCCTGAGGAATCACCATGCTGTCTTCCACAATCATTTTACTAATTTACATTCCCACCAACACTGTGAAAGTGTTCCTATTTCTCCACAGCCTCACCAGCTGTGAGGCTTTCTTGACTTTTTAATAATTGCCATTCTGACTGGTTTGAGATGGTATCTCATTGTGGTTTTGATTTGCAGTTCTCTAATAATCAGTGATGTTGAGCTTTTTTTCATGTTTGTTGGCCACATAAATATCTTCTTTTGAGAAGCATCTGTTCATATTCTTTGTCCACTTTTTGACAGGTTGTTTGTTTTGTTCTTGCAAATTTGTTTAAGTGCCTTGTAAATTTTGGATATTAGACATGGGTAGATTGCAAAATTTTTCTCCCATTCTCTAGGTTGCCTGTTCATTCTGAAGCTAGTTTCTTTTACTGTGCAGAAGCTTTTTAGTTTGATTAGATCCCATTTGTCAATTTTGGCTTTTGTTGCAATTGCTTTTGGCATTTTCATCACGAAGTCTTTGCCCATGTCTATGTCCTGAATGGTATTGCCTAGGTTTTCCTCTAGGGATTTTATGGTTTTGGGTTTTACATTGAAGTCTTTAATCCATCTTGAGTTAATTTTTGTGTAAGTTGTAAGGAAGGGGTACAGTTTCAGTTTTCTGCATATGGCTAGCCAGTTTTCCCAGCACCATTTATTGAAAAGGAGATCTTTTCCCCATTGCTTGTTTGTATTAGGTTTGGTGAAGACCAGATCATTGTAGATGTGTGGTGTTATTTCTGAGGTCTCTGTTCTGTTCCATTGGCCTATGTATCTGTTTTGATACAAGTATCATGCTGTTTTGGTTACCATAGCATTGTAGTAGAGTTTGAGGTCAGGTAGCGTGATGCCTCTAGCTTTGTTCTTTTTCCTTAGGATTGTCTTGGCAATATGGGCTCTTCTTTGATTCCATAGGACATTTAAAGTAGTTTTTTCCCTAATTCTGTGAAAATGTCAATGGTAGTTTGATGGGAGTAGCACTGAATCTATAAAATACCTTGGGCAGTATGGCCATTTCTATGATATTTATTCTTCCTAGCCATGAAAATGGAGTGGTTTTCATTTGTTTGTGTCCACTCTTATTTCCTTGAGCAGTGGTTTGTAGTGCTCCCTGAAGAGGTCCTTCACATCCCCTATTAGCTGTATTCCTAGATATTTTATTCTCTTTGTAGCATTTGTGAATGGGAGTTCATCCGTGATTTGGCTCTCTGCCTGTCTACTGTTGGTATAAATAAATGCTTGTGATTTTTGCACATGGATTTTGTATCCTGGCACTTTACTGAAGTTCTTATCAGCTTAAGGAGTTTTGGGGCTGAGATGATGGGGTTTTCTAAATATACAATCATGTTTTCTCCAAACAGAGACAATGTGAATTCCTGTCTTCCTATTTGCATATGCTTTATTTGTTTATCTTGCCTGATTGCCCTGGCCAGAACTTCCAATACTGTGTTGAATAGGAGTGGTGAGAGAGGGCATCCTTGTCTTGTACCAGTTTTCAAAGGGAATGTTCCAGCTTTTGCCCATTCAATATAATATTGGCTGTGGGATTGTCATAAATAGCCCTTATTATTTTGAGATATGTTCCATTAATACCCAGTTTATTGAGAGTTTTTCACATGAGAGATGTTGAATTATATCAAAGGCCTTTTCTGCATCTATTGAGATAATCATGTGGTCTTTGCCTTTTGTTCTGTTTATGTGATGGATTATGTTTATTTATTTGCATATGTTGAAACAACATTGAATCCAAGGGATGAAGCCAACTTGATTGGGGTGAATAAGTTTGTTGATATGGTGCTAGATTCAGTTTGTCAGTATTTTATTGAGGATTTTGGTATTGATGTTCATCAGGGATATTGGCCTGAAGTTTTCTTTTTTTGTTGTGTCTCTGCCCGGTTTTGGTATTAGGGTGATGCTCTCTTCATAAAATGAGTTAGGGAGGAGTACCTCCTTTTTGATTGTTTGGAGTAGTTTCAGAAGGCATCGTACCAGCTCTTCTTTGTATTCCTGGTAGAATTCAGCTGTTAATCCATGTGGTCCCAGACTTTTTTTGGTTGGTAGGATATTAATTACCGCCTGAATTTCAGAACTTGTTATTGGTCTATTCAGGGATTCGACTTCTTCCCAGTTTAGATTTGGAGGGTGTATGTGTCCAGGAATTTATCCATTTCTTCTAGATTTTCTAGTTTATTTGCATAGAGGTGTTTATAATATTCTATGATGGTAGTTCGTATTTCCGTGGAGTCAGTGGTGATCCCTTACATTAAGGGAGTAAGTGCTCCCTTAATGTTATGCACCCTTGATGTTATGCTCCCTTGATATATGCACCCAAGGTGTTGGGTGCATATATATTTAGGATAATTCTTCTTGTTGAATTGATCCCTTTACCATTAGGGAATACCCTTCTTTTCTTTTTTGATCTTTGCTGGTTTAAAGTCTGTTTTGTCAGAGACTGGGATTGCAAACCCTGATTTTTTTTTTTTTTTTTTTTTTGCTTTCCATTTGCTTGGTCCCTTTCTTTTTAGACTAGGTGTGTCTTTGCATGTGGGATGGGTCTCCTGAATAGAGCACATCAATGGGTCTTGATTCTTTATGTGATTTGCCAGTCTGTGTCTTTTAATTGGGGCATTTAGGCCATTTATATTTAAGGTTAGTAATGTTATGTGTGAATTTCATCCTGTCATCATGATGCTATCTGGTTATTTTGTACACTAGTTCATGCAGTTTCTTCATAGTTTCATTGGTCTTTATATTTTGGTGTGTTTGTGCAGTGGCTGGTACTGGTTTTTCATTTCCACATGTAGTGCTTCCTTCAGGAGCTCTTGCAAGGCACATCTGGTGGTGAAAAAATCCCTCAGCATTTGCTTGTCTGGAAAATATTTTATTTCTCCTTCGCTTATGGAGCTTAGTTTGGCTGGATGTGAAATTCTGGCCTGAAAATTATTTTCTTTAAGCATGTTGAATATTGGCCCCGAGTCTTTTCTGGCTTGTAGGGTTTCTTCTGAGATATCCACTGTTAGTCTGATGGGCTTCCCTTTGTAGGTGACCTGACCTTTCTCTCTGGCTACCCTTAATAATTTTTTCCGCATTTTGACCTTGGAGAATCTGATGATTATGTTTCTTGGGGTTGATCTTCTCACTGAGTGTCTTAGTGGTGTTCTTGTTCTTTGTATTTCCCAAATTTGCATGTTGGCCTGTCTTGGTAGGTTGGGGAAGTTCTGGATAATATCCGAAAATGTGTTTTCCAGCTTGTTCCCATTCTCCCTGTCTCCTTCAGTTGCTCGAATCAATCATAGGTTTGGTCTTTTTATGTAGTCCCATATTTCTTGAAGGCTTTGTTTGTTCCTTTTCATTCTTTTTTTTTTTTTCCTCTATTCTTGTCTGCATGACTTTTTTCAGCCTTGTGGTCTTCAGACTCTGATATCATTTCTTCCACTTTGTTGATTTGGCTATTGATACTTCTCTATGCCTCACAACGTTCTCGTGCTATGGTTTTCAGCTCCATCAGGCCATTTATGTTCCTCTCTAAACTGGTTATTCTAGTTAGCAGCTCTTCTAACCTTTTATTGAGGTTCTTAGCTTCTTTGCATTGTGTTAGAACATTCTCCTTTAGCTCAGCAGAGTTTTTTATTACCCATCTTCTGAAGCTTACTTCTGTCAATTCATCCATCCCATCCTCCATCCAGTTCTGCACTCTTGCTGGAGAGGCATCGTGGTCACTTCAAGGAGAAGAGGCACTCTTGACCTTTGGGTTTTCAGAGGTGTTTTTGTTCATTCCTTCTCATCTTTGTGAGTTTGTTGAGTTTCGGTCTTTGAGACTTTTGACCCTT
This sequence comes from Homo sapiens, assembly GCF_000001405.40. Taxonomy (NCBI): domain Eukaryota; kingdom Metazoa; phylum Chordata; class Mammalia; order Primates; family Hominidae; genus Homo; species Homo sapiens. Next base: position 86,159,120 of record NC_000007.14, on the reverse strand, counting down.
GGAAGGGATTTTTGTGGGGACGTTTTTTGTTGTTGATGGTGTTGTTTTCTGTTTGTCTGTTTTTCTTTCAATGATCAGGTCTCTCTTCTGTAGGGCTGTTGCAGTTTGCTAGGGGTTCAGTTGAGACCTTATTCTTCTGGTTCACCCCTGTGCCTGAAGATGTCACTCAAGGAGCCTGGAGAACAGCAAAGATGGGTGACTGTTCCTTCTTCTGGGATCTCTGAACTCGAGAGGCACCAACCTGATGCCAGTAGGATTATTCCTGTATAGGGTGTCTGATAACCCCTGTTGGAGGGTCTCACCCAGTTGAGGGTCATGGGGAACAGAGCCCATTTAACAAAGCACTTTGACTGTCCCTTAGTGGAGGGAGTGTGCTTTGCTGGGGGGATACCTACTCTTCTGGGCTGCCTGAATTCCTCAGAACTACCAGGAGGAAAGGCTAAGTCTTCTGGTCTGCAGAGGCTCTGGCCAGCCCTCCCCCTATGGACTCAGGCCCAGGGTTCTGTCCCTGAGCCTCTGGCTGGAGTTGTTGGGGTTCCTGCAGTGGGGGGACTCACACAGTGAGTAAGGATGGGTCAGAGTCAGGCCTGAAGAGGTGCTCTGGTCTCATTCTTCCACAGTCGGTATGTTGGGTTGTGGGGGTCACCCCTAGGACTAAGCTGTTCAGCCTCCCTGGCTCCAGTGGGAGAAAAGTGTGTCCTGGAGCTGTAGCAATGGATGCCACCCTTCCCCCACTCAGGGAGCTTAGCATGTTAGGCAGTTATGAGTCCCAGTGCTGGCTGCTGCACCCTCCCTCAAGGGGCTCAAAAGGCTTAGACAGCAAGCAGCCACAGCTGTGGTACTGGTTGCCCCTCCCCCTGGGAACTCACAGGCTTAAGCAGATTCTAGCTGAGAGGCTTTTGAGAATCTGGGCAGCTCCAGGGTTGGGACCCTAGGCTCTGGTGGCATGAGTCCCAAGTGGGGTCTTCCGACCTGTGGGTTGCGCAGTTCCGTGGAAAAAGCATGGTTTTCCTAGCTGGGTAGCATGCTCACTCACCACCTCACCTCCCTTGGCTGAGGTTTGGGGCTCCCCTGCCTGATGTACGTCTCAAATGGGCCGCTATGCCACATTCTAGCCAGTGTCTTAAAATGTTCTACATACCTCTTCACTGTGATTCAGTTTTATTCTAGTGCAATGAAAATATATGTCCACAAAAAGCCTTGTATAATAGTAATCATAGCAGGTTTATTTATAATAGCCAATTTAGAAACAGTCCAGATGTCTATCAACAGGGTGATAGATGGCCAGACATGGTGGCTTACACATGTAATCCCAGAACTTTCAAAGGCTGAGGTGAAAGAACCACTTGATTTCAGGAATTTGAGACCAGCCTGGGCAACATAGCAAGACCTTGCTTCTACAAAACATTTAGAAAAAAAAATTAGGCTAATTGTGGGGCTGACTTGGGAGATGGCTTGAGTCCATGAGTTCCAGGTTACAGTGAGATGTGATTGCATCACTGGACTCCAGCCTGGGTGACTGCATAGGACCCTGTCTCTAACAGAAAACAAAGAAGAAATGGCAATGGAAAAACTATTTGATATTCACATAATTCATATAATTAAAAAATCCTCAGCAATAAAAAAGAATAAACCAATGATATATGCAAATGCATGGATAAATATAATGATACAATTTTCATTAAAAATAACTTGTAAAAATAATCTAAGAAAAAAATTGTCACATAAGAATACATATTATTTCCTTTTACAAATTCTACAATCGGTTAAAAATTAAAAATGGTAATCAATTAACAAATAGTGATTCAAATCAGGTTAGATTACTCCTTGGAGTAAGCAGGAATTAACTGGGAAAGGATATGAGGAAACTTTCTTGGGTAAAAACAATGTTCTGTTTTGAAAGGTATATGGGTTGCATTGAGTGAATCCATTGTTAAAGTGGATCAAACTATACACCTAAGATCTGTGCAATTCACTACATGTATATTACAACTCATTAACAAGACTTTAAATAGCTTTAAAAAAAATAAGAACCAAACTTACATTTAAATGATGAGATATTAAGAAGATTGGGTAACAATAACCAATGATGTAAGAAAAATAACTTAAGATTCTTATTCTCATTTTTCCTTCATATATATATATGAGAAATATTTGGCAATATTATCTTAAACTTTCCAAAATTAAATGTGCTAGCTGATCTCAGATTTCAGTGTACCTCCTTTCGTAACAGAAAACTATGGTGGAAATGTGATGGTTTCAAATTCATCTATAACTATTTATTCCTCAGAACTTTCAAAATAGTTGAAGATAGATAATTTCAGATTCTTGGCTTGAAACAAAGATAACTATAGAAATAGTTTCTAATACACTTATAAAACAATGTATAATGTACTCTTCTTAATTTTGGCTTAAGAAATCAAACGTTATAGTTAAAAGTGTGTAATATTTGAAGAGAGAAAATAAAACAATTTAACTTGCAATACAGCCAATGTTTGGACATATTATATAGGTAGATTTATAGATTACAGCTTTATATGGGACAATCAGATGGTTATGGGCAACATATAAATATGAAGATTTTCTTATGTGAAATTAGTAGTAGCATCTTCTTTTATGCACATAAAACAAATAATTTTGAACTCTGTTATACCATTACTATCATTAATACAATGAATAATCAATCTTTTGTTTCCCTGCCTCTTCCCCTTGTTATTATTTTCTCTAATCTCAATAGCAATTCTTATAGAGCACTGCTGGCCTACTCATCAACATAGCTGAGCACAATTCTTGGCTCAATATATGGATCTTTAATATAATAAAATTGAACTGAAATGTAAAGTTAGTCATTTTTAAATTCTACTTACAGTAGAACAAGATTCTTTTAAGATCAAATAAACATGGACCAAGTAGAAAAACTCAACATGAAAGGAAGATTTGGAGATCAGAGTAGTTTAGACAAATTTGGAGAACTTTTTAGGTGCCAAGGAAAAGCAATTGTTTCAGCAGCATTGAATATAATTGTAATTGTTAAACAGTAATGTTGATCTTGAAGATTAAAACCTGTTTTATACACACAATTCCATTATACATTTTAGAGAAAAATTCAGAATAAAATTATTGACTTGAATGTCTACACAGATATCTAATCCTGCTGTTGAAAGCATGAGCATTTACAGAACTTCATTGAGTAAACTGTCAGAGGACCCAATCATCTTCAGGCGAATTATCGAATTGTAGAATACAGAGAATCATGACAGACTGACTCCTCCTAGAGTGACACCATAGTACAGTAATCTGTAAATGCACTTAACTAGCCATGAGGCAACATTGAAAATTTTATGCACATATTTCACTAAAGATAAACACTTCATGAGAAAAATAAATACTAAATACTAACACTGCCTCTTCAGTTTTACCAAGTCTTAAGATCTTGTTATTCTTAGCTGAAAATATCAGTTTTCACAGCATAGACTACACATTTTCAAAACTTGACATTAATTAGGCTGAAGACATTTCTTCACCGATAATTTTGAACTTTTTGGTTAACCATGAAATTCAATTTCATGAATATAAAGCAGAATAAAAATTATTTTGTTTTTATAGAATTAATGAATTTTAACTTTCCTTTTAATGATTTTATTAATAGTAACTATCCATAAATCAATCTTTTGAAATTTCAGTCTATAATAAGAGCTCTGAGGTCAAGAAACATTTTTATTTATATTGCTTCAGCAACTGTTGCTATTTAACAGATTATACATGTATCTAAAATAATAATAAATCATATTTAATCATTGAAAAAGTCACTATGGAACACAAGAACTATTTATTTACATTTTCTTAGAGGAAAATATGCATTCATAAAGTGAAATACAATTGAGTATTAGCTTTTATGTAGATTAATACCATTCTACAAAAAAATTGATTTTAATAATAAAGGTGAAAATTATGTTCATTTATTTATTGGTTAAACAATAACAATAAAATACCTAACAATTGTTCTTACAGCCCTGATGGATATAGTGAAAAATAGAGTTTTTGTCCTCAAGGAGATTTTAATCTATATAAGGACACCAGATGATATGTAAATCTTGGAGATTTGGAGATAAAAACAAATGAAAATAAAATCAGGTGTTAGATTGTGTGGTACAGAGCAGATGGAAATGCTACTACTTTCTTTCTATCTAAAATGTCACTTATGACACAAATCAGGAAGCCAGATGCAGCCAATATTTTATTAGAATCAAGCTGATAGATGTGCTTTTTATGACCACAGGTAATTTGGTTGCTGAATGATTTAGCGTCTTCTCAAACCAAGAAAGAATAAGCTAATAATGCCTATATCTCTTTGAAGAGTTTCTTTTCAAAAAAGTTTTTTGCACTGCCATTTAAATAACTAGTATAAATATAGACCAGAGATCATTAATATAATAAATGCTTAATAAATATTCAAACCAGTTAGTACAATATAAAATACCAGCACTGGAAGTGAAACACCTAGGTCCTCGCCTTATCTTTCTCAAGACTAGAAAATTACTTTGCCTATACAAATCTCAGTTTTCTAGACTGTAAATCCTATAGCACAGACACTATGTATTTGGTCTAACGATCAACATTACTATAAGGACCTGATGCCATAAGTATTAAAGCATTTTTTGTGTGTGTTAAGAGCTACATACTATAAACTTTGGGAGATTAAAATATTTGTATAAAAATAATAGGTTTAATAATTCCTCTTTCTCATCCTGTGCTATGCAACATTTATTTTTTCTGCAGCAAAACTAACTACAAAAATTTAGACATTAAAAACATGTTTAATTAATCCTGTGTGAAGTCAGCTTGATTGTAGTAACTTAAATAGTTGGTTTCAGTTCTTTTATGTTCTTCTGGTGTTTTTTTTTTTTTTATACTTTAAGTTTTAGGGTATATGTGCACAATGTGCAGGTTAGTTACATATGTATACATGTGCCATGCTGGTGTGCTGCACCCTTTAACTTGTCATTTAGCATTAGGTATATCTCCTAAAGCTATCCCTCCCCCCTCCCCCCACCCCACAACAGTCCCCAGAGTGTGATGTTCCCCTTTCTGTGCCCATGTGTTCTCATTGTTCAATTCCCATCTATGAGTGAGAACATGCGGTGTTTGGTTTTTTGTCTTTGCGATAGTTTACTGAGAATGATGATTTCCAATTTCATGACACTAATATCCAGAATCTACAATGAACTCGAACAAATTTACGAGACTAAAACAAACAACCCCAACAAAAAGTGGGCAAAGGATATGAACAGACAGTTCTCAAAAGAAGACATTTATGCAGCCAAAAGACACATGAAAAAATGCTCATCATCACTGGCCATCAGAGAAATGCAAATCAAAACCGCAATGTGATACCATCTCACACCAGTTAGAATGGCGATCATTAAAAAGTCAGGAAACAACAGGTGCTGGAGAGGATGTGGAGAAATAGGAACACTTTTACACTGTTGGTGGGACTGTAAACTAGTTCAACCATTGTGGAAGTCAGTGTGGCGATTCCTCAGGGATCTAGAACTAAAAATACCATTTGACCCAGCCATCCCATTACTGGGTATATACCCAAAGGACTATAAATCATGCTGCTATAAAGACACATGCACACGTATGTTTATTGCAGCACTATTCACAATAGCAAAGACTTGGAACCAACCCAAATGTCCAACAATGATAGACTGGATTAAGAAAATGTGTTCTTCTGGTTTTAACTGGTGCCTGTTCTCATGCTGCTATAAGAACATACAAGAAACTGCGTAATTTATAAAGAAAAAAGGTTTAAGTGGCTCCCAGTTCACCTGGCTGGAGAGACCTCAGGAAACTTACAATCATGGCAGAAGGGAAAGCAGACTCGTCCTTCACAAGGCAGCAGAAGAGAGAATGAGAGCCAAGTGAAGGGGGAAACCCCTTATAAAACCATCAGATTTCATGAGAACTTACTTTCACAAGAATAGCATTGGGGAAACTACCCTCATGATTCAGTTACCTCCCACCTGATCCCTTCCACCACACATGGAGATTATGAGAATTATAATTGAAGATGAGTTTTGCATGTGGACAGAGCCAAACCATATCATTTTGCCTGTGGCCCCTCCCAAATCTCATGGCCTCACATTTCAAAACACAACTATTCCTTTCAAACGGCCCCCCAAATTAGCTCATTCCAGCATTAACCCAGAATTCCAAGTCCAAAGTCTTGTCTGAGACTAGGCCTTTCTGCCTATGAGTCTGTAAAATCAAAAGCAAGTTAGTTACTTCCTAGGTACAATGGAGGTATAGGCATTGGGTAAATACACCCAGTCCAAATGGGAGGAATTGGCCCAAACAAAGGGGCTACAGGCCAAAATCCAATAGGGCAGTCATTAAACTTTAAAATTTCAAAATGATCTTCTTTGACTGCATTTCTCATATCTGGGGTATGCTGATACAAGAGGTGGGCTCCAACAGCCTTGGGAAGCTCTGCCTCTGTGGCTTTGTGGGATACAGGCCCCCTCCCAGCTGCTTTCATGGGTCAGTGTTGAATACCTGTGGCTTTTCCAGGTACATGATGCAAGCTCTTGGTGGATCTATCATTCTGGGGTCTGGAGGACAGTGGCCTGCTTCTCATAGCTCCACTAGGCAGTACCCCATGGGGACTCTGTGTGGGAGCCCCCACCCCACATTTCCCTTCTGCACTGCCCTAGCAGAGGTTCTCCATGGGGGCTCTGCCCCCTTAGCAGACTTCTGCCTAGACATCAGGCATTTCCATACAACTGATGAAATCTAGGTAGAGGTTCTCAAACCTTAATTCTTGTCTTCTGTGCATCTGCAGAAAGAACACCACATGGAAGCTGCCAAGGCTTGGGGCTTGCACCTTCTGAAGCCATGGCCTGAGCTGTACCTTGGCCCCTTTTAGCCATGGCTGGAGCCACTGAGATGCAGGGCACCAAGTCCCTAGGCTGCACACAGCAGGAGGGCCCTAGGCCCAGCCTACAAAACAATTTTTCTCTACTAGGCCCTGGGACTGTGATGAGAGGGGCTGCTGTGAAGTTCTCTGACATACCCTGGAGACATTTTCCTCATTTTCTTGGTGGTTAACATTTTGTTCCTCATCATTTATGCAAATTTCTGCAGCTAGCTAGAATTTCTCACCAGAAAATGGGTTTTTGTTTTCTTTTGCATCATCAGGCTACAAACTTGCCAAAATTTTATGCTCTGCTTCCTCTTGAATGCTTTGCTGCTTAGAAATTTCTCCCACAAGATACTTTAAATCATCTCTTTCAGGTTCAAGTTTCCACAGATCTCCAGGGCAGGGGCAAAATGCAGCCAGTTTCTTTGCTAAAGCATAGCAAGAGTCACGTTTATTCCAGTTTCCAACAAGTTCCTCATCTCCATCTGAGACCACCTTAGTCTGGACCTTATTGTCAATATCACTATCAGAATTTTGGTCAAAGCCATTCAACAAATCTCTAGGAAGTTCCAAGCTTTTCCACATCTTCCTGTCCTCTGATCCCTCCAAATCTCTAGGAAGTCCCAAACTTTCCCACATTTTCCCATCTTCTTCTGAGCCCTCCAAACTTTTCCAACCTCTGCCTCTTACCCAGTTCCAAAGTTGTTTTCACATTTTCAGGTGTTTTTACAGTAGCGCCCCGCTCCCAGTACCAATTTAAAGTATTAGTCTGTTATCATGCTGCTATAAGGACATCCCCAAGACTGGATAATTTATAAAGGAAAGAAGTTTAACTGCCTCATATAGTTCTGTAGGGCTAGGGAGGTCTCAGAAGACTGATAATCATGGTAGAAGGGGAAACAAACTTGTCCCTAACAAGGTGGCAGGAGAGAGAAGAACGAGAGCTGAGCGAAGGGGGGAAGCCCCTTATAAAATCATCAGATCTTGGGAGAGCTTACTATTATGAGAATAGCATGCAAGAAACCACCTTCAGGATTCAATTACCTCCTACTGAGTCCCTCTCTCCACACATGGGAATATTGGGAACTACAATTCAAGATGATATTTGGGTGGGAACACAGCCAAACCATATCAACTGGTTTAAAGGAAATTTTTATTGAAATGTCAAATTGAAAATATTGCCTGTGAGCAACATTAATTTATTCAGATTTCTTATTTAGTAATTTTCTAGCAGCCTTCCTGTAACTTTTTTGCCCCCAAAGAGTATCTTAATTAGTCAAATGTTTCTCATGCCACTTCTCAAACTTATCTATTATGGTTTCATAAAAGAAATAGCTTCAAGTAACCACCCAGAAAGTTCTAAACTATCTATTTTCTTGTATTTTATTGAATATGTATTTTATTTCTTCCAATGCATTCCTGGTTGTAAAAAGTTCAATGCTTTTTTTTGTTTGTTTTTTGAGACAGTGCCTCACTCTGTCACCCAGACTGTAGTGCAGTGGTGATATCTTGGCTCACTGCAACCTCCACCTCCTATGTTCAAGCAATCCTCCTGCCTCAGCCTCCCAAGTAGCTGGGACTACAGGCATGTGCCACTACGCCTGGAAAATTTTTGTATTTTTAGTAGAGATGGGATTTCACTATGTCTCTCAGGCTGGTCTCGAACTCCTGGACTCAAGCAGTATGTCTGCCTTGGCCTCCCAAAGTGCTGGGATTACAGGCCTGAGCCACCACGTCTGACTTCAACTCTTTTTTGAGTTTAATTTCTTATAATCATTAGCGATATGAAGGTAGTAGCAAACACCTTGCAGTAGTAACATTTTACCTCAAAACCTCTTCTCCAAAACAAAGTGTGTTAGGTATTTTTTCTATCTTTCATATTAACTCAGGTGACAGTTTTATTTTGCCAAAGAAAAATATGGGTCACCAGGCTTTTAGCTTCTATAAAATTAAAATTGGTAAGCCCCAGCCAGAATCACACACAAAAAATTACAACACAAGCATTACAAATATTAGAAGTTAAAAAATGGCCATCACTCTTGGCCCAATGGACATTAAAAGGTCAGTAAAAGAATATAATAAACAGCTGTAAGCCAAAAATTAGATAACTTTGATGAAAAAGAACATTCCGTAGAAGACACAATCTACAGAAACACTTGCTACAGATAATCCAAATACGACTTTACATACTAAAATAATTGAATCAATAATTAATAACCTTCCAAAACAAAGAGAAGACCCAGTCTCAGTTTCACTGGTGAATTTTACCAAATATTTCAAGAGAAATAATACTAATTCTCTATAAATTGTTCCAAAAATTAGAAGCACACAAAAGAATTCTGTCTCATTTTACAAGGTCAGCCTTACCCTAATAACAGAAGTAGATAATAACATTACAAAAAAAGGAAAACTACACACCATTTTCTCTCATGAAAATGGATGCAAAAAACTCTCAACAAAATATTAGTAAATCAAGTCTAACCATGCATACAAATATGTATAGACAATGAACAAGCAAAGTTTTTTTTGTTTATAAATTCTTTCTAATTTGGTGTTGAAGTCTCCCTCTTGAGGGTAGCTATAAATTATAGCTCTGATCAGGAAAGAATTTAGGTTCAGGTGTGTCAGTCAGTGAGAAACAGAGGAGGCAGCACAGTCAAACACTTGAAACGACAGAAGCATTTTTATTACTTACAGATCCAGAGGGAAGAGGGCAGCACACTTTGCACAGCCAATGGGAAGAGGGCAGCTGTCCAGGACAGACGTGTTCAAGCAGTAGGTGAAGAACAAGAGAAAAAGACAGTGAGGAACCCCTTAGGTCTAGAGCATTACCCAAGCATGCTTTCCTCAGGCACTTCTAACTATTGAGTTTAAGGCAACGAGGCATGAGATGTGTGGGGTTACTCTGTGACTGAGAGATGGTCACTGGAACATATTTATGCAGTCCTTGTGGGGTGTGGGGAATGAACAACTGATGAGTCAAGTAGATTGAATTTAGCTGTCCTATAGGGAGGCGGTCACTAGGAGAGAGTTGTATAAGACAGACTCTGGAGCAGCCACACTGAAGAACTAAGAGGAGGTAAAGAATGGGATACTGTGTCAAGGGTGACTGAGAAAGTTTAACTTACATTCAGAATACATGCATAGACAATATAAATTATACCAATTTGTCATAGGGGTATATTTTAAGTATGCAAGGCTGTTTCAACATGCAAAAATAAATTAATGTAATTCATCACATCTACTGGCTAAACAAGAAAATCATGTTTTCATAGCAATAGATGCAGAAAAGGTATTTGACAAAATGCAATACTGTTTAATGATAAAAACAAACAAACCAGCAAACAAAACTTTCATCGGACTGGGAATACAGGGGAACCCTCTCAACTTGACAAAAAAAAAATCTAAAAATAATAATCAAGTAGCTAATCTAAAATTCAGTAGTGAGAAAATAGATGATTTTCCCATAAGGTCAGGAACAAGGCAAGGATGCCCCCTTCTGCCACTCCTATTGTATATTATACTGGAAGTCCTCACTCATGCAGAAAGACAAGTGAAGTACATAAAATGACAAACATGTCTATTAAAAACATATGAGAAGCTGCCCAACATCTTATATTGTCATCGAATTAAAATTAAAATAAGATGCCACTACACACCTAGAATGACTAAAATTTAATACAAGAACAACACCAAATCCTGACGAGAATATGCAGTAACAGAAACTTTCATACATCGCTTACGGGAATGCAAAAATGAAAGACAGTTTGGCAGTTTATTACACACAAAGCTAAACCTAGTTTTACCACACCATCCATCAATCACATTTCTAGTATTTACTGAAGTGAGTTGCAAACTTGTCTATACAAAAACTTGCATATGAATGTTATATAGCTGTATTCACAGTTGTTTAAAATTGGAAGAAATCAAGATGTCCTTCAGTTAATTAGTTGATAAACTATGGTACATCCATATAAAACAATATTATTCAGCAGTTAAAATGAATGAGCCATCAAGTCATTAAAAGACATGGAGGAATCTAAAATGAATATCGCTAAGTGAAGTAAGCATAACTGGCAAGACTACCTAATGTATGATTCTAACTATAAGGCATTCTGAAAAATACAAAAGTAAGGAGACAGTAAAAAAGATCAATAGTGGCTAAAGATTTCGTGGGTAGGGTGTGGGCAGAGGGTGAGAAATGAATAGTTGGAACATAGGAAATGTTAGGGGAGTGAATCTAATCTGTGTGATAGTGTGATAGTGTAATGGTGGGTAGAAGATATTTTACGTTTGAAAATCCATAGAACTGCCTGGGCATGATGGCTTGCACCTGTAATCTGAGCACTATGGGAGGCTTAGGTAGGAGGATCACTTGAGCCCAGGAGTTCGAGACTAGACTGGGCAACATAGGAAGATGCCATCTTAACAAAAATGAAAACAAAAAATTATGGGGAATGGCTGTGCATGCCTATGGTTTGAGCTACTTAGGAGGCTGAGGTGTGAAGATTGCTTGCACCCAGAAGGTCAAGGATGCAGTGAGCCATGATTATGCCACTGCACTCAAGTCCAGGTGACAGAGTAAGACCCTGCCTCAAAAAAAAAAAAAAAGTCCATAGAAGTATTGAACTCAAAGAGTGAATCCTATTATAAACTATGTACTTCAGTTAATAATAATGTATTAATAATGGTTTGACAATTTCTGGCAATTAAAAACTTTCATTAATATATCACATCAATGCTTTCTTCTTCCAGTCTCTTTCAGCATCATTGGATTTAAATTTATTCCACTTAGGATAAATGGAGAAGGATTTTTAAAGCCTTTGAAGTTTGATAGCGACCAAAGCTGGGATAAGCATAATGTAATATCATCCTTGATCTGGTGATCTTGGTTGGATAGGTATTTTGTAACAGCATTGTTAATTTCCTCATTTTGATTTTCATTTTGCTCTTTATCACCTACAGACAGATTTCGACTCAACTTAACCATTATTTTTCCCCAATTTCTCTTATTTTTATTTTGCCCATCTTCCTTCTTTGGAACGGTTAAAACCTTTTTCATTATTAAATCAAATAAATGCATGGCAGATATGATAGCAGGTGGGTTATTTCCTATATGGTCTATAACCCTTTGAATATACGGTTGAAATAAAGGAGCCCAGTCAAAAGGCACTGCCCATATCATATTTGTTTACATTACAGCCACATACTATTTTGGTTGGGTTGTTTCTTGTCATCATAAACCCAATCAATTTGCTTGTATGTGAAATATTTCAAGAGTTTCAGGGGATAGTCCATTGTTTTAGAAAAGTGAGAAAGCCAAACAGAAACCTTTTCCAGCGCAAACTTGCTGTATTTATGTTCTGTTTATGCCTTTATCTATTCCAAATAAATCAATTCAATTACTTCTAAATTCTAGAAAATTGTTTGTATGCTGAACACTGCTGGAACTCAACTTACATAGTCCGTTTTGTTCACATATGTCTGCCATAGAATTGTTAGTCTCCTGATCATTAGTCAAAGAATCTGAGAGAGCAAAGATTCATCAGGTGGTTGCTAGTATTATCAAGCAAAGAGTCATGTGCCTTTGAACTGTATTCTATCCATAAATATCCGTGGTCACCTCTCCACTACATTGTGTACCTAGGAATGTGTCTAGTGAACAATAGTCATACATAGAGAATAATAACTGAACACTGTATTTTCCAAATCCCCAATGGAATCATTGGTGTATAACAAGACCTTGTTTGATGGTCTGTCTTACCCAGTATGATTGACTCTTTTCTTTCCTTCAGTTTCTAACAATTTTACTAACACTAAAATTCAGCTAAGCAACAACCACATCGGAGTACTACTCACTAATTTTTTGTCTGTCTGCCTTATCTTATAAATTCATTTTCCCAAATCTTCAGGATTCAAACCTTTTTACTTATAAGTAAATAAACAAGCAAACAAATAAATAAAATACATGAAATTTATGCCTGATATTCTGACACAGAATTTTTGTGACTTCATACTGATAGCGAGTCAGCAACTCGTTGGACATCAAAATCTTCACTCTTTTCTCTTTCTTTCCCCTTCTTTCTTTTTATTCTTATGTCTGTCTTTCCTCTTCTTTTCTTCACCATAAAGCACCCTTGCCATATTGAGTTGTAGGTCTAAAAGTCAGTTGCATTAATGATACCAATCTGCAATAGCTGGAAGTGGTTAAGAAGTAGCACTGGTCCTGACTTCTGATTGATAATCAAACTTATAAGGCACAATAGGCTTAACACAGCAACACATTTAGTAGATTTAATAGAGGACAAAGAACAGAGAACACAACAAACACAGTGACAGCAAAGAACTATTTCTTGACTCCCAGGAATGGCTTTCAAATACTCCAGAGCCTCCACATTAATTAGAATAATGACTGAAAATTGACATTGTACTTAGTAAGAATGAGGTGATTGGTTACTTTGGCAAGAGAGTTATACTGGCATGTTAGGGTGAAAGTCTGAATAGGCGGGGCCGAAGGGAAATAGAAGAGGCATCATAGAAACTACAAATAACACATTCTCTCAATGAGATTTTCTGTGAAGGGGAATAAAAAAATGGGAAAAAAATTGAGGCGAAGGTCAAGCCAGAAACAGTTTTTTAAATGTGAGTATTTTTAGATGGTAACGAACAAGTTTAAAAAGAAAAATTAAGTATTCAGGAAGAAGCAAGAAGCATTGCTAGAGTGATATATTTGTGCAGGCAAGAAGGAATGGGTCCTGAACCCCGCTGATTTACTTGGAATATTTCCATATTGTTCTTATGTATTATTAAGCTGCTTATCATTATCTCTGGCTTAAGAATTAAATATATGCTATCAACTCTTTGTTTAATTGCTTGTATTTTTGGGATTATAATTTCTTGCTGGATTGTTTCAGAGTGAATTTAACTCAGAGAAATAGGGAAACCGACTAATCATTTCCCTGTTCTATTATTATTATGAAGAAATATTATCCAAGATTTTAATTTCTGAGAGAAAACTGATCAAATCAAAACCAGTAAAGGATCTATACATAGCTGATATTTTCCAGACCTTTATCCAGTAAATAAAATCAATTGCAGCTCACACAGCGATAATATAATTTATAATCTTTAGCTAAACTCTTAGCAGAGTAATCACTGAAATTCCAAGTGCATTTCTTATGCAAAAGATAGAAGCAATAATGTGAAGAAAGGGATGGGTTTAACAAATTGGAGGAGTGCCATTCTATGTCATGGTATATTGTCCTTATTGTACCAATTCTTTTGATAGAGTTTTATCTAACTCATTTGTTCTTGTGCTTGCTCTTGTTGCAATTAATGTTTTCAAGAATCATGTATCTAGAGATAACCAAAAGATATAGCCCTGTCACCAATCACTAGGGTGCCAGTAAAGGTAGTATTAGGTGAAAATATGTTTTCTCAGTACAGGGACAACTAAACCTCAGGGAGAACAATATGGAAGCCTGATTCTCCATTTCTGTTACATACCCTCCAGCAGCCTTGGTCTTTCCCCAATCATATTCCTAAAATCTAAAGCTATTTAAAACATAGCAGTTTTCTTTGGTGTGTTCTCAAATTTAGTTTGTTTTGATGTCCTTCTAATAATACTTGAATACATAAATTACTAAGAATTATATTAATAGATTAAAGCAAGAGCAATCTGGCCACAATTATCAGCATCTATTATTTAAGGGAAGGTTTTCACTCCAGCATTATTTTATTTTGCTTTCCCATCACGTAGCGTAGCACAGATTTGATTGCAGATGGCTGCATCAGAGTGCATTTGATCCAATTTGGAATATGACTTTCAAGCAACTTTAACTTTTGCACATTGTTGTATGGTAATCATACTAGTAACTTAAGAATGAGATTTTCCAACATATTATGTTTCTCTTATTAGCAAAATCTCTAACCTAATTTCAGTAATTATCATCTTCTTAATATTAAATTCTTGTTTTACTAAATAAAAAATAAGTAAATGATAGTTTGAAATTCATCTGTCAAAATAAAATTTTCTCAAAATGGAATGTTCTGTAATTTACATTATCAGCATGGTTTTGTCGTTTCTTTTCTACTTGGTTCATTTTACAGATGATACCATGAGGCCTAGGGAAGCTAATTAAACTAGGTCACACAAGGTTAGATAGCTTGCTGTCACATTAATGTTGCTACACAGCTACAGGGAAAAGGCAGAATGACAAAAATGCCATGGAGCATGAGGTCTTCTAAATAACCCCACTGTCGTTTTAAAAATTGCTGCCAAATGCCTTCTTCAGAGCAGCAGCAAATGCCAATGAAGTCTGAAGTATTTGAAAGGGACACGTTTCAATAGCAAGAGGAAAATAGATGGCATGATGTTTGATGTTGAAGAGAGAGAGAAAAGTGCCACTGATTATATATATTATGTAGATATAAGATATAATAATGTGGCATTGGCTGTGCCCAAATGAAGCTATTAGTGTGATGACAGAGTTAAACAGTATGCAAGATTCTTAGCTTATTATCATTAAAGTAGCAACCATCGCTATCTTGTTACCATATGAGCAAAACACCTGGAGCATCAGCTTTTACTGGTGATGACAGTCACTTTACCCTAGCAATATTTTAACACTTCATGAAAATCAGTAAGAACAGAAATTGGATGTCTGCCTGTCTTATCTACATATTTGCCTATGAAATATTTTATAGAAATATACAAACCTACATCTTGGAGAATCCATTGTTTCTGAGGTAGGCACTTAGAACATATTCATTACAAGAATTAATCAAAAGCTTAAATAAATTCTGCCCTAATTGTTGTATAATATATGGAAAAGAGTGCAAGATGTTGGTGAAAGGATTTTTGGGGTGTGTATAGGCAGAAGACATGGTACTAATCCAGAGAAGAAGATTCTTTCGTTTAACTTCTTCAAAATGCTTCCCCTACTAAACAATGATGGAGACATATTTTGTAATTCATGCAAACAAACATTAGTATCTCTTTGTAATTTTTGTTAAAACTTCTGCAGACTAGGGTGAAAATTGTTTATCTTGAAACT